>NT_187556.1:600000-870480 GCF_000001405.40 Homo sapiens | reverse complement strand
GATCGTTTATTCTGGTTCAAGTTTTATTTATTCTATGAATAAGGGACAAGTTTTCGATGGGGGTGGGGTGTCTTATTCCTTATTACAAGAATAAGGAACGGGGAGTTTTCAAGGCAGGCGGGTGTTTCCTCAGGGCGCTTCCACACTCCCCTTTCAATCAGCAACCGCTCGGGGGGACCTCCACCTTGGGACGGAACCCCAGGACGCCTCTCCTCGGACGGCGGGGGTTTCTCTGCGCGCGTCCTCGGTCGTCTGGTCGCACGGCTTACCGAACTCTCGCCTCTCAAATTCTGAGTTCTGGAACAGGGCAGCGAGCTGCGCCGGCTCCCCTTTCTCGCTCGCTCCCTCCGAGCAGCGGCTGGCGGCGGGGCCCAGGCTGCGAACAAAGGCGGCGCGGGGCGCGCGGCCGGGGCTGGCGCGCGTCTCTCCGGCAGGAGGCGGTGGCGGCGCCGCGCCCGAGCCCGCATTCCTCAGAAGCGCCCGGAGCCCGCGGGGCGACGTCACCCCCGGCTCCGCCCCCGTCCCTCCCCGAGCAAAGTAACTCTTGACTAACAGGAGCAGCCTCCGCCGAGCATGGAGAGCTGCCGCCGCGGCCGGCCGGCGACGCTGGCGACGCTTTCGCCCCTGAGGTAGTTTGGCGACCGCGAAGAAGGAAAAAGGGCGGGCGGGCGGCTGTCCTCTCACCGTCCTCACCCCGCGAGGCCCGGCCCGCTCCTCCGTCGTGGATTTCGCGGCGATCCCCCCGGCAGCTCTTTGCAAAGCTGCTTGAAACTTCTCCCAAACTCGGCATGGATACGACTGCGGCGGCGGCGCTGCCTGCTTTTGTGGCGCTCTTGCTCCTCTCTCCTTGGCCTCTCCTGGGATCGGCCCAAGGCCAGTTCTCCGCAGGTGAGTGGCCGGGGGGCGTCCCCGACGAACGCCTGGAGTCCTGGGCTCACGAGGGGTGAGCCAGGTCCCCGCTAGGGCTGGGGACAAGGATCGTGGGGAGCTCTCTCTGTCCGGGGGTGGGGAACACAGGGTAGAGGGAGGGCTGTCCCCAGAGTTCGTGCCAGGTGGGACGCGGGGCACCCATTGTTCCTCTCCGAAGCTTGCTCGGGGCTCAGGCTGGCACGGTCTAGCCGGAGAGTGTGGGGACCTGCTGGCTTCGGCGTCTCGCGTGGCCTGCGCCGGGCTAGTGGGGAAGAGAGAAAGAAAAAGTAGTTACGACTCCCGTGACGGCACTCTGTTGCTTGTGGTGCGGGTTTGTTGCTGTCTGCCACTTGGGTGTTTAAACAAATTCCCTGGGAAGCCATTGTCAGAAATGTGGAGATTCGAAGGGACTGACCTCGGCGCGCTTTGCCAGGTGCTTTTTGTCCCGGGAATAACCTCCCCTGACTATTGTCTAACTACTTCCCCGTCCCTCCCGGAGTCCCCTTTTCTCCTCCCCCAGCTCTGGGTTGCTCCCGGGCTTGCCCTGTGCGCTCGGGCACTGCTTGGAGCATGTTCTGTGTGTGTGTTGGCGGAGCCCTGTAAGATGTGTTGAAATGCGGTTCTAAGGACCCACTCTGAGCGTTCATGGGCATCGAGGTCTGGGCGCCTGGTGGAGGAAGCCTGACTCGCGCGTGGGAGCCCGCTCCTCGGGCAAAACCACCGCCAGGCTGGCCCCGCGCTCCCCGGATCCGGCCTGGGGCTCTGGCCCCGCGCTCCCCGGATCCGGCCTGGGGCTGGAAGCGGACTGTAAATGTCTGCCTTCTGCCGGAGAACCCAAAAGGAGACAAGTGGAGCGTCTCGCTGTAGCCCTGGGGGTTCTCGGTCAAGCCGCTCAGAGAAGTCCGTGAACCCTGGCTCTCCCGGTCCCGCCCTCTGTTCCCCTCCAGTTTTGTTATCCTTCGTGTAGGTTGGTTGCTTCTTTCGTTCTCTCCTCTGGGGGCTCTGAAGTTTCACCAGGTGGACGCTGGGGAGCGGGCTCCCGAGCACTTGTCTACCTCCCGCCAGTCCTGACAACTTTTCTGGCCAACCTACCCAGCTTCGCTTGGCTGGCGAGCGCATCTGCTGCTGGGGTTCGCGGTGCAGATGGAGACGCAGTGGTGGCCAGAGGGTGATGGAGAAGACGGGAAAAGCGACAGCCACGCTCCTGGCTGAAGCCGCAGGACGCAAATAACTTACTTTGTACCTGACAGTTTCTCACGTTGTTGTGGAGGCCCTGTTTCCTGGAAATAAACTCAAATTGTTGTTTTCTGGAGTAATCGTTTATTTCCCTTCCATTGCTCTCCTACCCCCGCCCCATTTAGAACTCTGTAAAGGGAGTTAAACAACAGATTCAGGTGGCAGCATGTGTCGTACATTCAGGCAGAGATTATGAAATGGCAGCACGCAGAGGAAAAGCCCTGTATATAATTGATGTACGCAGAGGGTAACAGCTCTATGCAAAAAATAATCCAATGGTTTAATTGAATTCTTTCTGGAGTAAGCATTACTGCATGCATTTCTGACATATAATGCCCGTTAGCATTGAAACCGTGCTTGATGTAACTCATTATATGCAGGCAAGTTGGAGTGAGTATTGATTTCTGCACAGTGTTTGTCACTGCACGGAGAGCCTACGCTTGAAAAGGCTTGTAGTTTGTTAATTGAAAGTTTGAACTCTACCAGTTGCATAATTAAACTTACATGTATTCAAGAGTTGCAACTATTAATGTCTCAACAGCGATGGATATATTTTCAGCAGTTAGAAAACTTTTTCTCTTTTTAAATGTTATTTACCCTTTAATTAACAAATAAATACTACTTTTCCTCCAGCTGAATGTGAAAATGAGCTTTTCTGATACCTGGAGTTTAGATACGTACAATAAACAATTGTGTTCTTAGATATCTAGTTCTAAGTACTTTAACTAAATATGCCTGGCTTTTCTTTAGTGACAAAGCATAACATTTGACATGATGTTGTATATTTAATTAATATAATGTGCATTCCTAAAAAGTACAGTAATCACAGGATTGCATCTCAAGATTTTGCCCTTTAGGAATGTATGCCCAGAAATGAATGTCTTTTATTCCCAGAGTTTAAAGTCAGATTGTGGATTTGCCTTTCTCCACAAATTATAAGTTTGTTTTGTAAATACTTCCTTTTTTTTCTGGCTACCATAAATCATTTGATATTTTATTGTCATAAAATTCTATGGCAGTCAGATTTGTTGCAGACATAGATTAGAGATGTATTGAAGATTGGAGGTGTATTCCATATTGCTGGTTTTTCTTATATTTTACTTTAACTAGTGAACTTTTATTCCTTTTGAGAAATTTAAATAAACCCACTTTAAAAGTCCAAGACAAATTCATGTTGAGAATTTAAAAATATCTGAAGTATGTCTTTCAAATCATACTCATTAAGATCAGTTTACTTTCCGATATCATGTGGTTCCTAATGTAGTAAGCTTCAAAAGCAAATTTTGAAAGGCTGAGCATTGTTGGGACTTTGATGTGTCATATACTTATTCAGTTTTCTTTGTTTAAACCAAAAATGTAAGAGTGTTTTCATTATTGTGACTTTTTTCTTAGCTTTTGCAGTTAAAGTGTAAAACTGCTGCACTGTGAGCCTCTTTAAAACCAGAACGTTCTGTAAATCCCAACTCATACATTCTTTCAGTTTCACCTCTCACTTAAAATGACACCCATGTCATATCTGAGGAAACCGAGGCATAGAAGAATAAAGAAGTATTAAAGTTTATTCACTGGGTTGTATAGCTGTGATCTCTTGATATAATGTAAGAAAGTTTTCTGTAGAAGGACTTAGATGACTGACGAAACCAGATGCAGGTAAGGTGACTTGGAAACTCAGCTTTCTCCTCTGTAAAATGGGGATAATAATACCCAACTTGACCTTTCCACATGTTTTTTATGATTAAATGAAGTAATTTATGGGAACTAGCACTGTAAATTGTAAAGCACTGTGCAGCTATCTGGGGTGTAATCATCATTAAGTGCCTTAGTCTCAGCTTTTTACTCCTTCCAAATTCTCTCTCCAGTAAGTGCAGGCTGTTCAGGATTTGTGTGTGAGTGTGTGTGTGCGCACGTGTGTGTGTGCATGTGTGTGTGTGTTTTCACTCAGCCAGTCATTCATTTAATTATTGTTTAACATAGTTATTGTTAAACATAAACATACTAGATTGGCCAGACCATAATTTTGTCAGCACAATGATCGATTATCCTTAATTTTTTTAACTTACCTCGTATAAATCCTTACTTGAGTTAGACCCATGGAAGAGTCACTATTAACATTCCTGGCATTTCTAACTACAGAAAAAAATATTTTTAGTCAGTTTCTTTAGCTGTTTGTTTAACTGTTGGTTCAGGTTTTCAACTCTGTGTTGAGAATAATATGTAGCTTTCTAGATGCAGTCTTATCAATGACCTAGAGAGGGACTATTGTCTCTCTTGTATGATAGGAGCCTGGAAATACAGCTCGAGATCCTGCTTTGTCTATAGTTCCTGACATGTCACCCTGTTGATGTGCACTTAGAATGCTGTAACTCATCTAAGCAGCACCTGAGCAGTATCTGACTCCTTGTTGTCTCTTTAGGTGAGATTAATTTCTCTTATACTTATTACCTGCTAGGAAGATACTTTGGAGCCAGCTTGCTTTAAGGTTTGCCTGTTAGTTTTTTTTGGTTTTGATTGGCTAAATATCCCTCGATCCCTCAATTCATTAAAACTCCACGTTCTAATCACTAGCAATCATATGTAGCTGGACATTTCCAGGACTGTTTTTTTTTCTCTCTCTAGTTCTCTTGCATCTGACTCTTGATTTTCCTAGGTCGTGAGATGTAGTTTTGTGTCTGGCCTACCCAGACGGAAAGAGGAGAGTCTGGCTGCTGTTTGGACATTGGCATGTGTGCTGCTGACAGCTCTTCTCTTTGTGCTCATAAAAGTGAATTTCAAAAATAAATCAACCCCTCTGCCACTCTGCCCCCTCCCACACTCCCTCCTACTCTTTTCTAGCAAAAACAGAGCCCCACATATATATACACAAGATCACAGCCCTTTTGTTTTTGCCAAATATATTTTAGTGCTGTACATGTCCTTAAGAACTGGAAATATGACTCATCCACTAACCAAAGCTAATGCCAACATTCCCACCAAATCTCATATTTCTAGCAATGATGGTTTGTTACAGGTTTTTCTGGCCTTTAAGGTAATATTTAATTCATGTGATAAGATTCCATATAGAAAAAGTGTGTTGGCTACTAATATTTTTAAAGTGCAGTATACCAGGTCTACTCAAACTGGTATTAAAGACAGTGAACATCATGCTAAATAGGGATCTGTGCTGCTCCCATTTCCCCTACTTGCTTTTCATGGAGTGCAGGAAGAGAGATGCTGGAAGATTGAGAGCAGGAAGCATCAAGAAAGTTTACAGATTGTTCTTAAAGACAAAACAAAGAACACAGGGATTCTGTGTGTGTGCACGTGTATGTGTGTGTGTGAGTGTGTGTATGTGTTTTTGATCTTTTACTTAATTTTTAGAAGAGGAAAAAAGTCCTATGGTATTTTTGACTTGTTTATTGAAATCAGCCTTTGCCTTTGCGCAAACACATTTTCTAGTTCTGTCAATGTAAAAATTTCCCTCTGTGTATTCTTCTCAGTCTTTACACTTTGATCATATGTATCTGGTCTGTGTTCCTTCTTCAAATGGTGTTTCTTTTTGCCTAAAAAGGTTGTAATTGCTTTTGAACATGACTTGTTTTTTTAATCAAAACTCATGCTGTTTGTCATAGTACTGAAAAAAAAAAGTACAAGACATCAATTCATGATAGGTCTTAAAACAGTATTTGATAACAAAGTAAGTGAATAATACATTAATCAGGCTATTTTTTATTTCAATTGAAGCAAAAAGCAAACTTGCATATCCATGAACTAATCTTTTAATGTCACAGAACATTTATTTGTTGCTGTTTCTGAAGTCTTTAAGTTCCCTTTTATAAATGGGGATAGACAATTTCAGAACCACATTGCTTGATATTTTGAGATAAGTGAGATAAGTTACATACAACTATGCCTTGGAAAACTGAAAAAATGTTATGATGTTTGATATCAGTGTGAACTCTGAATAGTTTGTAAACTTCACACTCCACATTAGTGCAAATGTGTTTTGTGAAAATACTCCTAAAGAAACGTAGTTTCACATAAAAGGTTTTTAAAGTTTCATGAAGATTCTGTTGTGGGAAGTATGTTTATTTTCCTTTTGTATTCTTGTGGGAATTCTTTTGATCTGTATTTAATATTTTAATAATGAAAACTAAGTGTATGTAATTTTAAAACTTAGTTTCGTGAGGTTTTTTTTAGATTGTTGAGGTTCTGGGAAAACACTGGGCCTGGGATCTAAGGATCACATTGATCCTCTCGTGGAACATTGCCATTTCCCCACTTAACTCTGGTTGAAATTTTTGGCATTCTCCTTCGTGTGTTGATAATCCATAAAAATTACAAGTGGCTTATTTTGTCACTTACAGTTGTTTTAGGATCAAATTAAGTTGTCCTAAATGGAATAATCCGTGTTTCCACTTGATATGATTATTGAGCTCTGATAATGAAAATGATGAACAGGGCAGTGCTGGCTGAATCCTCCAACAGGTGTCATTCTAGGAATTGTTTTAATAAGGGGAATTCAGAAACAAGGCAAAATAAAATAGTGCGTAGTGGAGTTATTGTTTGTATTTATTTTGTTGGGAAATGTGAAAGATGTAAGTATGTAGTCCTCTGTGTGAATACACACACACACACACACACACACACACACATCTTAACAATGCTAGGACTTAGTTGTAGAAACATTTAGGTTAGAAAGAAGGTAAGGGCATCTAGAGATGGTATCAAAACTCCATACTTAACATTTTTGGAAAGAGTAGTGAAAATAGATCACTACTTTATTTCATAGATGTAGAAACAAGTGGAAAATAAGCTGTATATAATCTATACTGTATACTATACTATACTGTTATACTTTTAAGGATAAAATAATAAATCTTTCTCCAGATTGGTATCTATTAATATAAACCCTTCCCAGTGCAGCCTGTTCCTTAACCAGCTGCTCATAGGCCGATTCTCCAAGCGCTGTTCAAGGCAGCAGCTGACCAGCCACAGAAATTCCCTTAATCCGTGTTGGATAGTGGAGGTGACCTAGCAGCTGCTTAAGTGACAGACTGGCAACAGTTCCTTGATGTGATTTTTCTTAGGTCATTCAGTAAATTCAAGAGTAGAGAGGAAGGCTTTCTAGGGTCCTCACTACCCACCCAGGGATTGATGACTGATTGCTTCATGGTCATTGGATTCCTCACTGCAAGGTGTCCTGGGATTTTGTGGTTCATGGACCAATATAATTAGCATCATCTGGAAATTTGTGATGATCTGTGATCATCAGAGTCACCCCAGATCTACTGAATCAGAATCTGCATTTTGATGAAATCCCCAGGTGATTTGATGGAACATTTAATTCTGGGAAACACTGCTCTAGGACAAAGAAAGCTCAGTTTAAAAAGATTGTCACATGAACTTTACCATAGAATTTCAAGAATATTGCAAAAGGATTAATGATAACCTGAAATACATTTCCTTGGATTTATATTTCTTTTTCCTTTCTTTTTCTTTTTCTTTATTTCTTTCTTTCTTTCTTTCTTTTTTTTTTTTTGGAGATGGAGTCTTGCCCTGTCACCCAAGCTGGAGTGCAGTGGCACGATCTCGGCTCACTGAAACTTCTGCCTCCTGGGTTCAAGAGATTCTCCTGCTTCAGGCTTCCAAGTAGCTGGGATTACAGGTGCGCCACCATGCCCAGCTAATTTTTGTATTTTTAGTCAAGATGGGGTTTTACCATGTTGCCCAGGCTGGTCACGAACTCCTGAGCTGAAGTGATATTCCTGTTTTAGCCTTCTAAAATGCTGGGATTACAGGTGTGAGCCACCATGCCCGGCCCCTGGAGTATATTTCTGATCAATATTTACTTGATTATTATTTAATATTCCAGACACATCAAAACAACAGTACTATACAAGCTTTTTAAAAGAATGCTCAGATGACTTTGAAAAAAAATATTTTCATAAGAGACTAAAAGTAAGACTAGTTTTGGTTATGAATATTTTGTATAAGAATATTTAAAGATAAACATACTCTTCAAGGAACCAAACATGCTATATGCAAATCATTTTTAGCATAATGTTATGTTGATACAGGAAATACTATTCCCTCTGACATTACTAGTAGCAGTCTCTTGCTTTATAATTCTCTTTTTCATCTAAGTGTAATTTAAGATCTTTGTAGTAAGGAGCTCATTTATAGGACAGTCAAATTTAATGAATGGGAGTTGGTAGGTAGAATGCATTAAATATAACTGGTGTTCTTTTTATTATCTTTTGTGCTCATATTTAAGAACAGAGATTCTTGTCAGTTTTCTCAAGAGAAAAATTATGATGTAATAGACAGTGTACACTATTCATGTCAAAACACAATTTTACTTGCATTTTATAGCTTGCTTTAGCATTCTTTTAGAAAATGAATTTTCCCAGAAGACCTAATTGCCTTCTTATTAATGAGCCTGTAAGTGTTTTTTGTTATCCATTTACTATTCTAAATGTGTCTACTTGTGCTAGCTGTTTCAACAGTGTTGTCTCTGATTAAATCACAACTGCTATATTTGTTTTTGCCATTCACTAGTGATTCAGAAAATATTGGCATAATGACGTGGTTATGGCAGAGACTAATAAAAAACAAGAAGTAAAAATTAATGTTCACCCATTACAGTTGGCTGTATCATGAGATCAGAAGCTGGAGTTTGGGATAATAGCAACGTTCTCTATATTTTTGATACTGTAAATAAAAGTCTGCATAACCTATATTGTCTTAAATATAAAATATATAATTTATTGAATTAATGAACTGTAAATCAGTGTATTTCCATATGTACTTAATTTAGACACTAATGTTTAAAGAAAGATTTAATAGGAGACTGATCACTGTTAGAGGAGAAGTAGTGGTGGAGAGACTCTGAGAGGGCACTTTCGTATATCTTCAAGAACTTCACAGTTACTTTTTCTAGTTTGACTCCAAATTCTGGAACTTGTCTTTTTTACTAGTACTGCTTTTATTCTTATGAGCAATAATTAGGTTCATTTATTTTCTTATATGTTGGAGAAGAGAGCTTTTCCTAAAGCAATTGCAAAAATAACAATATGAGCTGTAATTTACTGAGAGCCCATGACCTGCTAGGGCCTGTGATCAGTGTTTTACATAATTTTAAATCCTCACAATATCCTTTAAGATGAGGATCATCTCCATTTTACAAACTAAGGCCTCGAGGGGTTAAGTAATAACTTGTCCCAAGTGGCTATATGAGTCACTGGTAGAGTCAAGATTCGTTAATGAATGTACACAAATGTTTAAAGATTAGACATTTCTTTGGTTGCATCTTGGCAGAAAATGTAACCCAGACTGGTTGCAACAAAAGGTGAATTTATTTGTCTCTCCTAACTACAGTTCAGGTGGAGCTTGATTTAGAAGTTGACGTAATTCCACTGAGACATGATGTTTCTCTGCCTGCTTAGTTTAGTTCTAGGGTATTCCAGGAGCTTCTTAGGCTCCATATAGAGGCACGATGGCTGTGGCAGCTCCCACCGAACAAGATCCCAGGTTCAAGTCCCTTAAGGAAATGTGAATTATCTGCTGGTTGCACCTGATAAGGCTCTAAGGTTTACAGTGCTTGAATCCACTGATCTTGTTTCCAACCATTGAATCTAAGGCTCTGACTGAGGGGAAGTTAGTGTGCTGATTGGCTTGGCCCAGGGTTTGTAATCTTTCTAATGGGGAAGAAAGAAGATGGGAGATGATGGGGAAGAGACAGTAGGATCAGATTGTTCTCTGTTGTGGACCACTAGGTGATCTCTAAGTGGGAAAGCGTGGAAGAGAAAGAGAGGAAAGAGGCAATTTGTGTCTGGCAGGCTTGTATACATTTACAGATCACCTGTTTTTAATCTGAGAGTGTTTATTTATTGGCTTTCCCTTTAAGGACTACTTTAAAGCATGAATTTATATTATTTCCATTATTTTATTTTCCTTGTCTCAGTATTGAATTAGTCTAACATTAAAAATTTGTAGAATTTGGTGTTAAAAAAGATCTTAGAAATTAATGACCCCTTCATTTGACGTAAGTTGCCCAAAGTCATACAGGTAGGAAGAACTTGAGCTCAAATTAAAGATTTTAATGTATAGGTTAGTGTTCTTACTATATATGTATCATATATTAATGTATACTATATATATATCATTTTCCTTAACAGTAATCTATATAATTATTATTTAAGATTAAAAAATTTTTGGCTTGTATTCCAAATTTCTGAAACAATATTTCCAAATATAAACCTGACTTAGTGATTGGATTTGATTAGAATAGTAGTCTGCATATAAGGTGATAATATGTCTGTGAATGCAAGAGACTATCTTAGATAACTGCTTGGTTTTCAGATATCATGACAGAATTTATACATGTATGCATGTATAGGTGTTTGCATGTATGCATTTATTTATTTTTAATAGAAAGCAAAGGGTAAAGTAAGCTGTGGTAAATGATATTGACACAGACAAAACCTACTAACTCTACTATTTTTGAAAACCTCAAGAGATGATGGTGATTTTATTTTTAATTTTGATCCTCTAACCTCTGCTGCCTAAATTTATTATGTATATCTGAGCAACATGGGATATTAGGAAGAGTTGCTATAAGAAATATCTTGGGGTACTGAATAATGAATAAAATGTAGAGAAGTAGCAGCTGTTTGCCTAGCTACCTCCTCTCCTAATGAGAGATTTACCCAGGCTGTCTTAATCACATGTTAGTGCTAGTGGATTTGACTGAGGACCATGGCTGTGCCAGTTGAGGCCAGGGGATAGTCTCCAGGCACTTTAATGGTCCGTAATGGACCTTCAATGGCCAGGGCAGCTGGCCTGGCACATAGGGGTGTAGACAGTGGTTGAGGAGGAAGGTTTACTGACTTCATCATGCTTCCCTTTGTCACTGGAGGCTTGTTTTCGTACACTTTTGTCTATTATCATAAATAACTTATGATAATAACTTATGACTCTTTTTCTGTCTTATTTATGTCCTTATGTGATGACTGTCAGTCCTAAATGATGAAGTTTGTAATAATTTGCCCTAACCACCTGGTCAGTTGGAGCAGATTGCTATCTGGTGTTGACTCATTATGCCCCTTTATCTAAACCAACACTTAAATGCTCAGGAAATATATGAATGAGGTGAAGGGGCTGGCAGCAACCTACCTCAGAACCAATGCCTTTGGAGATCTATGCAGGAGGCTGTTTAATGCACAGAGCACTGGCCTTGCTACAGGAGGACTTATGTTCCAGTCTTAAGCTCTGTCACTTTCTGAAATTTGGGAGCAGTCCTTTCTGCTTGATCTTTCATTTCTTTATCACCAAAATGAGAATATTACAATGAAGAATGACTTTAATGTCTTGTCTAGTCTACTGAACCAGACACTTTTAAGGTGAAATGAATAATATATGTGAAAGTAGTTTTATATTTGTAAACTACCATAAAAATGTAAATTTTGTTAGGAATAGAAACTTTGACAATAAGGAAAGTATTGCTGAAGGCACAAAAAGTGTGTATGCTGAAGAAGGGAAATGAAAACAATAAATAAATGCTTCATATATTTGCATGTTTAAGTGATACATTGCCTCTCAATGTTGGGGAAAGTGGTATAATAAAGAAGAATGAGCATGGTTCTTGTGAATAATGGGTGATTCTGCAATCATGTATCATAAAGAGCAGTCCCCCCAACTTTTTTCACATATATGTATTTCCTATGTATGTATAAATAAACTTTAATGCTACCAGGTAGTTCACTAGCCCTCCCATATCTCTGGGGGATACATTCCAAGGTGCCCGGTAGACGTCTGAAACTCGTATGGAACCCACCCTTAAATATACTATACCATGTTGTTTCAATCTGATAATGGAAATGGCTACTGAGTGACTAACAGGCAAGTGGGCTGTACAATATGGACACACTAGACAAAGGGATGATTCATGTCCCGGGTAGGACGGAGTGAGACAGCATGTGATTTCATCACGCCACTCAGAAGGGTGTGTAATTTAAAAGCTGTTTATTTATGAAATTTTTTCGTTTTCTTTTCTTTTCTTTTCTTTTTTTTTTTTGAGATGGAGTTTCGCACTTATTGCTCAGGCTGGAGTGCAGTGGCATGATCTTGGCTCACCGCAACCTCCGCCTCCTGGGTTCAAGCGATTCTCCTGCCTCAGCATCCCAAGTAGCTGGGATTACAGGCACCTGCCTCCACCATGCCCGGCTATTTTTTTGTGTTTTTAGTAGAGGCGGGATTTTGCCATGTTGGCCAGGCTGGTCTTGAACTCCTGACCTCAGGTGACCTGCCGCCTCAGCCTCCCAAAGTGCGGGATTACAGGTGTGAGCCACAGAGCCCTGCTTGAAATTTTTCATTTAATATTTTTGGACCACAGTTGGCCAAGGGCAACTGAAACCACAGAAAGTGAAACTGTGGGTAAGGGGGTCCTACTGTATTTGTATTTCCTCCAGATATTCAATATAGATTATGTGATTATAAAATAAGTTATTAAAGAAATGTAAATGTGTTTTAAGTACTTATATATATCATATATAGAAAGTTGTGTGTATACTTTTTTCCTTTTAAAAATTTTCGTGATAAGCTAGAACATGCTCTTGCCATCTAAGCTGTTCTGCCTGGTTTTTAAGAGCATGATCCTGATGAGGTTTATATCCTTTCATTTATTCTTTCACTCCATGAATCTTTGAGCACCTTACTATGTGCCCATGCTGTGCCAGGTTTTGGGTATGCTGGCAAGTAAGCCAGCAGTGACTTGTCCCAGTGCCTGTGCAGCATTTATAATGTTAATGACTATTAAGGCATGGTAATATTTGCATCGCTGCCCACATCTAGTGATTCACAAGTGAAGCTTGGGGCTTTGTTGGTAACTGACCATATATTTTATAACTGACCATACTCCTGAGATGTGGCAAGTGTCAAAGCTCTGTCTGTCTTACAGTTTGCTGATTCACTTCAGAACTTGCCTAGGATAATTCCAGTCTATCAGTAGTCTTTCCATAGTCTCAAAACTACCCAAACAAGTAAAAGCCTACCGAAAAAGAATTACAAACACATTGCCACAATGATAGTAAAATTCCGCCAAGTGGAATTTCCCAAAACTTGAGTAATCCGAAATGTAAACAAAGTCAGGCAGAGGAGAGAGCACATTTGTTTTCTGGAGGTTTGCTGTCACTAACTCTCCCTCTGGAAGCAGGATCAAGAAGATTGGTGGACAGCCTCTTAGACTACAGTGTATGTCAATGTGCATTTACAACCTGAATATTCACATGCATAATCCCTGGTTGTTTGGCTGCAGAATCCTGTTTGCTCTGACCTGCAGCTGCTTATGAACTGCCTCTCTTGCCTGGACTTTGATCAGCCCTCTCTCTGCTATTGCTTCTGTAGCCCATTGCCCTGTCTAGTGGGCAGCCACAAGAGAGGGAGACCAGTGGCTGGCAGAGTCCTATCAGCCAGGAATGAGGGTGGGCTGTGACCATCACCTAATTGCCCTGGCACCTGCATCCCATAAGGCACTGTTTGGTCATTCATTATGAAGGGGACAACAGTAGTTATTTAAGTACACTCACGGTCTTACCAGGAAATGGGGATTTTGAACTTCTGTCTTAAAAGAGGCCCACATGGCCTCTAGAGTGGGCCTCTAGTGTGAATTAAGGAGAGAAAAGCAATTTTGGAGAAGTGTAAATTTTTCCTAAGCCAAATTAAAGTTACTAGATTACATATACCCAAGGTTCAAAAATAGAAATTTAAAAAACTGTTTTTTGTTAGTTGAGTCACTGATATTTTATGCCCATTTTGTGTTTAAGCAAAAGAATACTTATCAAATGCTGATCTCCACACATAGTATAGAGCATAGTGTTTAAGAGTGCGGACATTGGAACTTGACTGCTTGAGTGGGAATATACATTCCAACATGTTTTTACTACATGATCTGACCACTTTCCTTCAGTTTCCACATATTCAAAATGGGAAAGTACCCATTCCAGATGTAGGTTTTGAGAAATATTGAGTTACAGTGCTTAAATGAGTGCCTGGCACACTAATAAAATTTGTCCATTTTAGTTATTATTGTTAATGAAATTGCCAGTGTTTGCAGAATATCTAATCTCATGCTGTTATCTCTTAAAATCTCTAACTACATTATCTTTTACTTTAAAATAAAACCACCAGAGAATAAATAATAGGATGCCTGAAGTAAATCAGCTCAATATGCTGATTAACAAAGACCACAAGCATCACTTTATAGAATATAATCCAGTGTTTATGAAAACAAGAAGCAAACTTATTCTTTTTTTATGTTAGAGGTTACAGTGACTTATAATAATTTTTTTTTTTTTTTTTTTTTTTGAGACAGAGTTTTACTCTGTCAACCAGACTGGAATGCAGTGGTGTGAACATAGCTCTCTGTGGCCTCAACCTCCTGGGCTCAAGCAAAACTCCTGCCTCAGCCTTCAGAGTTGCTGGGACCACAGGTGTGCGCCACCATACCTGGCTAATTTTTAAAAATTTTTTTGTAGAGATCAGGGTCTTGCCATGTATAAAAACCTACCCAACATCTTTGGAAAATGCATTTAAAATTCTCTAGGTAGGTTGAGGGAGGTGGGAAGTTTTTGGCCTACAAAGAATTGCTTACCTTCTAGAACGATTTAATCTCAGATGATAAAATATGAAAATTCTAAATTGGGAATAAGGTTAAAATAAGAATTGACCAGAAAGTGGAGGAATGAAATCTCTGCCACTCCAAGCAGTGCCCATCCCAGTAAGTATTATGTCCTATCTGGGAGTAGCACTCAGATTTAGAATGAGAGAATTAGAATTAATCAACAAGATAAGAGGGATCTCTTTAATGCCTAAGAATGTTGGTATATTGTTTCCCCAATGGTTATAGAATGAGAAAGGAATATCACTATTGCTTCTGTTTGCATTTGACACATATGCTAAACAAATGCACTGGCTTTTAGAACGTGTTTATGAATTCTATATAACATTTTTCTTTTTCTTTTTGGAGGTTGCCTAGCTATTTAATTTTCCTTAGTTCACAAAACAATGAGGTAGTTTCAAATCTATTTGAACCCCAAGACTTTTTCAAGCTGCTGTTCTCTGGGTAAAGCCACTTAGTCCTGGCACATGGTGGAAAGGTCTGGCTAAAGTTTTGACAATTATTAGCTCATTTGCAGAGTTGCTCTTTGACCTGTCAACACAGAGGAAAGCTTTTCTAAGCTGTGAGAAGGATTTTATGTTAGACTCGAGCTTTAGATTTCTTTTATTTTTCCAACTTTTTAACACTATCTTTTCTAGCTTTAATTGACACAAACTTCTCTTTTCCTTGTGTAACACTTGTGCACTCCAGATGTTAGAAATCCCTGTTAACTTTCTTACCGGAGAAGCTCTTTGCACTGCAGGCTTGAATGTCACTGAGATAATGTCCTTACAATATTTGCAACTTTGTGTTCTGACTGGATGCTCCTACTAACCTAGGTCTTCTTTGTGATTGCGGTGGCAGCAGCTGTCTTCATAAACTCATCTTCATTTATTTTTTATTTTATGTGTGTATTTATTTTTTTTGAGACAGAGTTTCGCTCTTGTTGCCCAGGCTGGAGTGCAATGGCACGATCTCAGCTCACTGCAACCTCCGCCTCCCAGGTTCAAGCGATTCTCCTGCCTCAGCCTCCTGAGTAGCTGGGATAGCAGGCATGTGCCACCACGCATGGCTAATTTTCTATTTTTAGTAGAGATGGGGTTTCTTCCTGTTGGTCAGGCCTGTAGTCCCAGCTACTCAAGAGGCTGAGGCAGGAGAATCGCATGAACCCGGGAGGCAGAAGTTGCAGCGAGCCGAGATTTCGCCACTGCACTCCAGCCTGGTGACAGAGTGAGACTCCGTCTCAAAAAAAAAAAAAAACAAGTAAATTTCTTAAGTTGTTATCATTTTGGTATACTGTTTGACCAGATTCAGTCTCAATAAAAGGAGCATTAACAAAACTTCAAAACTTCTATGGCACATCTAAATTTAAATATGAAACAGTTCTAAAAGCAGGGATGTATACTTGCTTGTCCTGGACCCCAGAATCGTGACTCACTTATTATTTGGAAAGCAGACTGCTACATATTTTGGTCACAATAATACCTAAAGGATACTGAATCAGAAAATGAGTAACTGAAAATGGGAGATCTCTATAATGAAAACACTAGATAGTAGTATACTTAAATATGATAGTGTACATGAGAAACCATAAATTTTAACCAGTGTGATTCAGGCTCTGGCTTTCAATCTATTTGCACTAGGGTATCGGACAAACCCACAACCAGGAAAGGTGAGCGCAGATATTGCCAGAAGAACCCAGGTGCTCTGATTGCTTACTCCTTAGGCAACGTTTCAGATTTTGCAAGGTACATTGTGCCCTTTCCCGGCTAATTCTTATCAGGAATGCACATCCCAGTTGAAGCCTGCTAATTGCTCTGAGGGCTGTTGTTTTTACCTTTAATTTAGGTTCAGGAGTCTGTAGGGCAATCCTTTGAAGTTCTTAGTTACTTACTGTTCACTGAAGTATCCACTTGAGATCTTTCCTGGACTCTCTCCACAGTTTGTTCACAATTTGGCACACCATTGGCTGAAAGTACTCTATCCTTGCTCCTTGCTCATTGACAGTTATACTACAGGCTGCTTCCAGTTGCCAACACATTTTAGAAAAGCATATAATTTTATTAAGAGTTTTTCCTGTTGCTTTCACATGTAGTCAAGTAAAGGGCAGGGGACAGAGAAGGGGCAGGATGTCATGTCAGCATTTACCTTTCCAGAGGCTAATGCTTTGAAAGAATAAGAGGGGTCCTTTTAGGTCAAGACTCTTATTGTTCTTGTCACCTGATTTGTTGGCATTGCAGTTACATCACGTGTTGTCTTTTATGTGAGCAATGACAAAAAGGATATATCTATTCTGTACATTTTTATCAAATATGATATCCTTCAAAGCTTGTTAAAACAGGTGATATCAGTCTGTGTTCTTAATATGGTCTTGTTGGCAACACCTTATTGGGGCGGGAACCATTGATTTGTGCATTTCCAGGATTGATTACTATCCCTAATAAAGTTAGTCTGGTAGGCAAAATAGCAAGACCTTATCTCTACACACACACACACACACACACACACACACACACACACACACAATAATAACCAGGCATAGTGGTGCATGCTTTTAGTCCCAGCTATTTTGGAGGCTGAGGCTGGAGGATTGCTTGAGCTCAGTAGTTAAAGGCTGCAGTGAGTGGTGATTGGGCACTGCACTCTAGCTTGGGCAACAGAGCAAGACCTTGTCTCTAAAACAAAATACATAAAGTTAGGCTGGTGAGCTAGGGTCTCTTCATTTAACAAAATATGTATGACAGAGTTTATCTGATTTCTTTCATGTTAGTTTGGTTAAGTTAATCAAATAGTAAATGCATGTTCATTCTGTGCCAGGCAGTGTATATAGCACAGAGGGCAAAATGATTTAGTTGACTAAGTCCCTGCACTTAATGACCTTACAGACTATTTAGAAGATCTAGAAATAAGTAAGATATAATTAAGAGTGGGAGGTACAAAAAGTGCCATCAGGACGTGGAGAAAGTACAGTCACTCACTCCTGGGTGATTAGTTAAGTTTCTCGGATCAGGCCATCAATTGGCAAAATCCTTATGAATGGGCACAAAATGTACTTGGGAAAATGAGGAAGTAATAGCGATGGTGGTAAATGTTTAATAATCAGCTCTCAAGCCAAAAAGTTCAGGTTTTATTTGTTTGTTTTGAGATGGAGTCTCGCTCTGTTGCCTAGGCTGGAGTGCAGTGGCGCGATCTCGGCTCACTGCAACCTCTGCCTCCTGGCTTCAAGTGATTCTCCTGCCTCATCCTCCTGAGTAGCTGAGATTACAGGCATATGCCATACGCCCGGCTAATTTTTGTATTTTTAGTAGAGGCGGGGGTTTCACCACGTTGGCCAGGCTGGTCTCGAACTCCTGACCTCGTGATCTGCCTGCCTTGGACTCCCAAAGTGCTGAGATTACAGATGTGAGCCACCATGCCTGGCCAAAGTTCAGGTTTTAGCACTTGCCAGTTTCCATGGTATAAATACTACCACCATGGCTGAATTCAAAGGACCAATGTGACATCACTGAACACAAAATTAGGAAGAGATGCATAGTAACACACCCTTATTTAGTACTTCCACCATACAGATACAAGAGAAGTAAATATCCTGCAAATATAATTAATAGTAAAATAATTAGAAAGTGATAAGTTTTGATTTATTACCTCTGTTTTTAATATAATTTATTTAGCTGTAAGTTTATATAATTTAATTTTAAATAATGGTTGTGACTAATAACTGGCCCACAAAATTCCTGAACATTTTAGCAACTGACTTTCAGGAGCTGGTATAGGCTGGTTTCAGCCCAGCCCACTACTCCATGCCTTATAATTTGGCATATGGGTGTGAGGAATCCAGTGAGATAATCCTCTTTAATTATGGGATCTTTCTATAACACTTTCCTAATTGAACAGTTTAGTGTAAGAAAACCTGGTCCATTTTGAAACTCCCTGGCAGGGGTTTAGTTATCAAGAAACTTTAGGTTCGTTGACACAAAATGTTGATGTCAGAAGGCTTTGGTGCATCCACTGTGGAGCTTAATCTCAGGAATAAATCCCCAAGAAGAAGACTGTTTTTCTGTTTAACTCAAGTTTCCCCACTATACAGGATTGACTCTCTTTGGTCTCAGGTGCTGATATGACTATTCAAGCTCTCTTTAAGTCCTGTTAACTTAGAGCACTGCTAGGACTATATAAAAGGTAAACTTTTCAATGTCTTTGAACTATGGACATTTTTCATGCTAAACACCATCTTTCCCAAATACTACACAGTAGGTAGTGGGTTTTCAGTAAATGTAGCTTGTAAATTACTACATCATCTTTGTACTAACAAACCTCCCGTGGCTCACAAGAGCACCCAATATTTAAGTTATTCAGAAATATTGGAAGAATCAACATGTCTGTAAAAGTAGGTAGATTTTCATCCAATTCTGCTATACATTGCCACTTTGATGGATTTTAATTTTGGGTGTATGTATGTGAAATTGTTAACATCTACAAAATATACATTATTAAATATAAAGCATGTTTTTTCATCTTAATACTGCATTTGGGCTTTGATTTAATGGTCTTTTATCATTATTTTCTACTGAATTATCAGTTACTTTTAAGCAGTTATTACTATTTGTTAGCTAAAGTTACTTTTGATTATTTCACTTGAGTTTTAAAATTCTTTCATTATTTAATCTCTATCAGTGTTAGAAAAGTGGAATGTTGTTTTAACATATGCTCTTATAATATTTGTTTATATAGGACAAAAATATTTCATGTTCCAAAAAATGTCATGTAAGATTAATGTAGCGCTAAATGGAAATTCCTGTGCTCCACATGCCTTTGTTAGGCTCCGCCCACAAAAAACCTAGTGTCTAAAACTAAGATATTCACATTTTAAGGCATATTGTAAGAAAGTTCTTGAAATTGGCAGATTGTGAATATGTTGTATATGTATTTTTTCCCTTTTAATGGGAAGGGTGTGTGTGTGTGTGTGTGTGTGTGTGATTTGAGTTTAGTAATATATGACAAAGTGCTGACAGTCCCCAAGTGACTTATGACTTATTTTGGGAAAATGGATTTTCTCCATATGATTTCTCTTTGTATATCTTATATAAAATCTTTTATCTTGTAGCAGGAAAAAAATTTACTTTCCCTTATATATGAACAATTTCAAGAATTTGGAAGCATTCCAAACTTTACAGTTTAAACATAGATTTCAGGCTGGGCACAGTGGCTCATGCCTGTAATCCAGCACTTTGGCAGGCTGAGGCAGATGGATCATTTGAGGTCAGGAGTTTGAGACCAGCCTGGTCAACGTGGTGAAACCCTGTCTCTATTAAAAATACAAAAATTAGCTGGGTGTGGTTGCACACACCTGTAGTCCCAGCCTACCTGGGAGGCTGAGGCAGGAGGATTGCTTGAGCCCAGGAGGTGGAGGTTGCAATAAGTCGAGATTATGCCACTGCACTTAGCCCGGGCTAGTCCCAGCCTACCTGGGAGGCAGGAGGATTGCTTGAGCCCAGGAGGCGGAGGTTGTAGTGAGCTGAGATTATGCCACTGCACTTAGCCCGGGCAACAGAGTATAGATTTCATAATAAAGATTCCTCAGACTGTGCAAAACAAAATGTAGATTTTTAACTCTTCTCAGTTAGTACTCTTTCTCCTTGAGGAAACCAAGTGGGAGAAGACATAGAGACAAATAATATTCAGAATTAATAAAGGTGTAGCACTAAGTCGATTGTTTCCTGTACTTAAATGGTTATATAATAGGAAAAAGACATATGTTCATATAAACTCTCAGGGATTTATTTTTAAAGAGCAATCTCTTCTGTGTGACCTGTGATCAGTAGACGTTAAACTCAATCTCTTACCTTTATGCCTATAATACTTTAACAATTAATTGATATTCAGAGTGATGGCTGAATTAGCTAAGCATAATCAAAAATGTAATTATGCTGGGTAAATTGTAATTCATAAGGCTGGAAAGCTTACCAGTAGTGGCCACAGTGATTGAAATGAGACTCCCCCCCCCAAATTTTCAGTTAATCACATGATTGTATTAACTAGGATGACCCATTTTTAGAGCATCTGTTTCTGACAACTTCTAATTTGTATTACTCTCTATTTCAACATTCTGTTTATTCAGCAGGGCCTGATAAAGATTTTTAGTTCATGTCTCACTATATTTAGCCACTCCTTCACTGCAGCCTGATGACATAATGACAACAATACATGAGCATCAGGATTTTACCTGCCTCTGCATCAGAAACTGAAGCCATTGGTGTATGTTTCTCTGGGCCATTTACATGTCTTGCCTGAGTATTTCAGAGGTAAACATTGTATCCCTTTTGAGTGTTTTGAGTCCACCAACCTATAGGGACATAACTTTAAAAATTATTTTCAATAACTAACATTTTAGTGTTTACTGGTCCTAGCATTGAGCTAAGTATCAGCTCATTATTTTCAAATTGTATGTAACCACCCATTTGGTGGGTACCGAATTCAATTCAGTAGGTAGCAACCAGCTTAAGGAAGAAAACCAGACCAACCATGAAATAGAATATAACAAAAACAATAACAAAGGTAATCATACATTTTGTAGAGGAAGAGAGAAGTATTGTTTCATGAAACTTTGGTTTTAATGGAATAGATTTATGTATCCTTATATGTCTGTGTACTGAGTCACAATGCAAAAAGAATTTCTAACTGTGGGTCTGGCCAAAAATATGGGAAAGTTACTATACTTCTCTCATACAATGTTTGCTATAAATCCTATTCACACAACTTTATAAGCTCCAAGTTTTTTCTCTTAACTATTATGTCGTGGCACTTCCTGGTACAGTGCAAAGAGCATAGAGTTTGCGTAATTTGGTAAATGAGTAATTTAACTTATATAGCCTGTTTCCTTATCCTCAATTCGTGTATAATTTCTGGATATTTACAGGGTTGTGAGAATCAAACTGGGTAATTTATGTTGGATATTCTTTTCCAAATTGAGCTACACATATGTAAGTTACTATGATTGTAATGCCTTGCCCTTTGGCCCTTCAAATACTAATTGACTACTGGGTTTGACTTAGGAAGACTGGATTGTCTTTTAAAATATTTTTCGAACCTGAAGATTTACAGTTCAGTGTTTTCACTTGTAGAGATCAGTCCTGTTGAGTACTTTTTACACAGTCTTTTGTTTCTTCTTTATGACAGGATGTTGTGAATAAAGCTAAGGTTTTTTTTTTATTTACTTTTCCTATTTTGGTATTACTCTTGACAAAAGCAATGGAAGGCAAATGTACTTTGGACATACCTGTATGAACTCATTATTCACATTTGTCTTCAAATAAAGCTGCATTTTGATTTTAAAACAAAATAACACTATGTAAATAAAACTCGATTTAAAATTTACGTTGAAATACCTATTGTGATACTCAATGGAACATTGAAATAATTTTGACCAATAAAAATATATCCAAGACTTAACAACAACAAAGGAATAAAAAAGATACACAAAACCTCCAATCAACTGTAAAACTTGTGAGTAGAGATATTTCAGTAATTGAAAATAGCTAGCAGAGTAGCTGTCCGCTGCCTGTCTTCTCTCTCTCTGCCATTCATTCTATTTATCTATCTATGTGGGTATCCAGCTGAATTTTTTGTCAAGATATATGTTTTTATTCCATATTTATTCTGTGGCCTAATCCAAAATATAATCATAAAAATATATATTTTACATTTTATGTATCAGTGTGGCATAACCTTATAATTCAGTATATATCCTGAAGACTTTGAGTTATGCACATTGTCATACTTAGACATAGTTCTCAACCTTTAGAGGATCAGACAGTTATCTGGACAGAGGAGCATTGATGCCACTGTTCTCCAGCATTCCCTTAGCCTCATCTTGCTAAAAGCAGAAGAGGATATTGGGATGCAAATAAAGTAGAGGAAGGGCTCTTTGCCAAGTGCTGTTTATTGAACTGAGTAAACGTCTCCCCCATGGGTTGGAGGGAGCTGGTTCGTTTAAGTGGGCAAGAAAAGCCAGTATTCTTCCAAGTAATGAGGTTTCTTAAATAAATATTCCAAATGTAGATTCTCTGGGCTGCATCAACAAGGGGCAAGCCTGAAAAGTCCCCTCAGTATCCAGGAGCCCAGGTTGAGAAGGGTTCTGTTTTGAAACTGGAAACTGTCCGTAGTTTGGATGGGAGAATGCTTGGAATGGAAGCTAGGCTGTGATTTGTCTTTTTAACATTCTTGACAGAAAAAGGGTGTTAAGGAAGCAGGATGACTACAGTTTCAGGGGATTTATTTACAGCTCCTAAGAAAATTAATTGTTTTTTTGCTTTTGTTTTTGTTTTTTTTTACAACTCAGACAAACATTATGCTAATAGAAAAGTATCTAAATCTACTCATGAGAAAAATTCTTTAAGGATGCATATTAGTCAACCTGTTCTTAAAACTACTTATTGTTAAAAATACTTCGTAATATACACAACATATTCTTTTAAAATGTTCTACAGTTCAGATTTTAAAGTGATTCGTAGTCATCTCACCCCACCTCCAGTTAATGAGATTTTACTGTTTATTTGTTAGCTACATCTAATAGAAAGGAAAAAAAAAAACAACCTTTTTGATAGGTGATAATTACTTAAAAATTTGGATCCAAATTAAGAGAACAGAGCTCATCAAAATATGGATGTATTAACACTGGAATGTATAATAATGGGAAAGAAGGTATAAGAATGACAGAGTGAGAAATTTTAAAAGAGGGGAAATAGGATGAATTCAATCAAAACAAGGAAGCCAAGGTGTTTAAATGGGTGACCCTCTCACTTTGATGTTTATCTGATTGAAATTTGACATTTTCTATTTACTCATTTCAAACCAAGATAAAAATCTCAAGTATTTAAAGCAACCTATTTTCTGTCTAGTTTGTGTTCAAATTATTATTATTATTAAAGACAGGGTCTCCCTATGTTGCCCAGGATGGTCTCAAACTCCTGGGCTCAAGGGATCGCCCTGCCTCAGCCTCCAGAGTAGCTGGTATTACAGGTGTGAACCACTGAGCTCAGCATAAAATGGTTATTTTTTAAGTATATATAGCCAGGCATAATTAAATTAAATATAGTTTAAAAGTGAGTTTAATGTTATTTTTTTCCTCCTCTTCCTGGGATCATAAAATGATTAATGTTAAAATTAGTGTTCTGCTACTGACTGGAACATACATGTTTATTATTTCCCTCTAATGTGAACACTTGCTGGTAGTATAGAATATAGTCATCTTCAATTCCGACAGTTGACATAAGGCAATTTTATAAGTGATTAATCACATACTATTGTGCATGTAGGAGGGTTTTGGCTTAGAGTTATTTTGGTGTACTTTTTGGATGTTACGATTTTTATTTTATAAGTAAACTCATGTTTGTTACCTGTAATGTTTTACTGATTCCAGAACAACTTGGCCTTCTTTGGTTTATTGTAATGCCAAGCACAATTATATTTTGAGTAAGATTTTGTGAGAAAAATTATAGTCTTCTTGGTTTATAAATAATTGTGTTATGAGAGTAATTCTAAAAGCCACACCTGAAAATGTCACATTACAACATCATTAGTTTATTATACCTTGTGTAACACTTTTGCTTTTCATAAACCAAGAAGCAATTAGAGTTAGATTATACAATATTTGTTTAGAAGATAATAAATCTTACAGGATGCTAATAATTTAAAAAGCTGCATATGTTGTTACTAATGATCAAACTGAAAGAAATTATATGATTTCAAACATGACTGTCTTTCTGATCGTTCAGGACAGGACCATGTAAGGATAACATCTGGACCTGATCTCACATCTCAAGGTCTTAAAGTTGTCACTTCACTTAGGTTTAATATTTTATCTTAAAAATGGTTATTCATCAAATATTCATTAAATGCTAACCATATTTACAACATTCTGCGAGGAACCATAGGGTTACAAAGTATATGACAAATTCCTTAGATATAATATATAATAATCAGAGGTGGAATTTTACAATTATTATTCTCTATTCTCTACTTTACTACTGGACTGGGTTTTAGGACTAGCCCCCATCCCTGCTCTACTTTTCTGCCTTAAGATTTAGGGAAATGTTTTTTCTGATAATCACATTGCTGGAATCTAAGATGGGCTTCCTCATCAAGTTTGCTTTTTTTCTTGAGATTTTGAAAGACACTCTCAGTCTTCAGCTGTATATTGAGCACCTTCACTGTGGCATGCTTTAGGGACTGAGGTCATAGTCCTTTTCATTGTGGACTTTTCATCCTGGACTTTTACAGTCTGGGGTAGATGGATGTGAAACATATACTTGTCAATATGTAATCCTAAGTTTGGAAAGTCCAGAAAAAAATATAGGGGGTTTAGAAGAATGTGTCTTACCCAAGGAGTGCACAGGAATTTTGACATTAGGAAAGCTAGGCAGGAGATACAAGCAAAGAGTCCCACCTGTGTGAAGACATGGAGACTGGAGAGAATGCGGTGCATTGGAGAGAATGCAGTGCATTGCAGCAACTGAGAGAAGCCCACTCACTATGGCTGGGGAAGAGGCGTGAAGGAGAGTCTGGTGAGAGTGGCCAAAGCTTCAGGTAAAAGCCAGAGCATGCAGGACCTTATAACTAACGATGACGACTTAAAGGAAAAGACATGATCAAATTTTCATAAGTATCGCCCTCAGTATAGTGTGAAAAAGGGTTTGGAGGGGCCACGTGGATTTTGGTGAGACCAGTTAGGAGGACATTGTTGCAGTCTAAGTGACTGTAGGGTGAGAGAAGTGTACAGGTAAAGGTATTTTGAAGGTGGGAGTGATGGAGCATGCTAGTAGATTTGTGGGGACTTAGAGAGAGGGAAGGATGAGAGATGCTGCCTGAGTATTTGGTTTGAACTGTAACATTTAAGGAGGATTTTTTTTTTTAGGCTCTTGCCTCCACGAGGATTTAAAAACAAATTTGCATATTACCTTTTCCTTACAGTTCACATAATTCCTTTTTTAGGCAACATGGCTATATATTCTTTTATCTTTTCCCTGAAATTGCGTCTCTTATTAAGATTTAAAGTATATATCTATGTACATATGCATTTGTTTAAAATGTAGTCATTTAAAATTCAGTTCTAAACAACTGGGTCCTTACCCCAGGCACCTTTCTATATTGATTCTCCTTTAACTTCCTTGAGTGATAAGCTTTGCTATTTTTGAAGTTCTTTGCCTATTCACTTTCTCTTCTTTAGACTGTGTATGAATGGATAGATACACACACTCACCCACACAGTTTGTTTTAAATTGCACAGAGTTGATGTATAATAAAATATGAAGAAAGGAAGAAATATTTTTAAAATTCTTATATTTTCTTTAGTGGTTTGTCTTAGAAAATGAACACATACCGGAGAGTTGAGAACTGAGATTTTTGTTTATTTTATTTATTTATTTTTTGTGAGAATAGCAAAGGCTTTACAATGTGACTGCTTACTAATGTCAGAAAAATAGCAATTCAGCTCTTACTTTCTCCCCTATACTTTCAGGGCGTTATGACAGTTTTAATGTGAGTTGTAAAATGTAGGGAGGTATACTCTAATTCTCTTTCACACACATAAATCAAGTTTCAGGCTCTTTTGGAAATGTTTACTAGAAAAAACATCATGGGCAGATTTTAAAATGCTTTTGGATTGCATGACGGCGTGGTGCCACTTCCATTGAAGTGTTGTAATATTTTATTTTCCTTCCCAAAGCGTCAAGATAAATCCTGTAAACATTTTTTCTCCTTTTGTTGTTTTGGTTGTACTATTGTGTTTGGCTCTAGCCTTTTGCCCCCAGGGAAACAAAAGTGTTTTTTTTTAACTGCAGTGCTCCCGCTGAGTACTCCAGCTGTTGGGCAGCAGTTTCAAAGTTGTTCCCTATTTACACACTGCAAGTCTGGCGGATCACAAAGCTTCCTACATCTTATCTGAAACACAATATACTAATTTCAGGGATATATTTAGAAGGAAAATTGTTGTCAAAATTTACTATAATGTAGCTTATTTTATCTTTTAAATTTAAAATCTACTAAATCATTATATCTTTAAAAAATGGTGATGGTGAATGTCAGCATAACACGTAATCTTATCGAAACAATTAAAATTTATCAATTAGCAGGTTCAAGTAACTACACTTTTTTTTTTTTTTTTTTTTTTAAGATACAGGGTCTTGCTACATTACCCAGGCTGGAGTGCGGTGGCTGTTCACAGTTGAGGTCATGGCTCATTGCAGCCTCAAACTCCTGGGCTCAAGCCATCCTCCTGCCTCAGCTGCCCAGGTAGTTGGACCACAGACACCTGTTCTAGTAACTACTGTTTGTCTATATTTAACGTTAACCAATGTGGTAAACCACTAGTGTGTACCAGCACTATGTTAGGCTTTGTTTAGGTTTTGCCCTCTAGGAGCTTCAGTCTGTTTGGAGAAATGGACATGTAGATAAATGTTATAACTCACGTAGAAATGAAGTGCTTAGAGAAGGCAGATGACAGAGTTACTGGCTGTATCTGGAGAAGTTGGATAAAGCATCATAGATGAGGGGACAGTTACCTTTGGAGTTTCCAGATGAAGAGATGGAGGAAAAGTGCCTTGATGACACCAAGTCACCCATTGTGCTTGTTTACCATGTGGTTAAAATAAAGCATTTGCATTTGGTGATTTCTAAACTCTCTTCTAGTTCTATGAATTGACCACAGTATAAGTATAGTTGTTTCTGTGTGTGTGTGTGTGTGTGTGTGTGTGTGTGTGTGTGTGTGTGTGTGTGTGTGTAGGGGGCGGGAGGTACTTTTTTTTTTTTTTTGAGACGGAGTCTCGCTCTTTCACCCAGCTGGAGCGCAGTGGCACGATCTCGGCTCACTGCAAGCTCTGCCTCCCGGGTTCACGCCATTCTCCTGCCTCAGCCTCCCAAGCAGCTGGGACTACAGGCGCCTGCCACCATGCCCAGCTAATTTTTTGTATTTTTAGTAGAGACAGGGTTTCACTGTGTTAGCCAGGATGGTCTTGATCTCCTGACCTCGTGATCAGCCCACCTTGGCCTCCCAAAGTGCTGGGATTGCAGGCGTGAGCCACCGCGCCCAGCCAGTTAGCGGGGGGTACATTGACTGGGCTTGAGATGTTCGTATGTAATAAATTTTTAAAAATTGCAGTTTTAATTTCCAGTTTTTAGTGAATTTTGGTCAATAGAATTTGCTCTTAGGAAAAAGTAAAGGAGGTGAATGCTGGCTTTCTTTTGCAATAGAAACAGCCAACTCACTCATTCATTTAACATATATTGTTGAGTGCCTACCATGTGCCAGATATTGTTAGAGAGCAATAAAAACACATATTCCGGCTTCTAAAATACTTACATTTTGGTGGCACATGGGACACCACACTCTGGATTGGGGGAAAATTTGGGGTATGGGTTGCCACAAAAATGAGCAAACATCAGTGTCTCCTGCCCTTTCCAAAAAGCACAAGGGGGCTATCCAAGAGAAGGGAGAAAGCAGGTCTAGGCTTGGAAAGGATAGGTGGAAAGTGTGGCACTAGCAAGGGGTTTTTGGAAGGCAAGGGTTTCCATATGCAAAGATTGGGAGATGGAGTATTTCAGCTGAAGAGAAAACTTAAGACTATTTTCAGGCCAAACAGTCCAACTTGAAGAGTGGGTTATATTCAATAGAGTAGTAGGAGATGAATTAGATACTGAGCATGAAAATAACAGCTATGAACTTGTCCTCATGCCAGGTGCTGCGGCAAGTGTATTTACTTATTAAATACTTCAAAATCCCGTAAAATAAATATTATTGTGTCTCCATGTTACAGCTTCTCTTGGGGCCATATGAGTAATAAAAGACAAATAAGTTTCAAGCTCAGGTCTGTCTGATATAGAAATACTTGATCTCAACCACCATAATATATTGGAATTTTCATTTTTGGATAGTTAGGCTACAAGGTTCTCTTGAAAATTTTGAGTAGGCAGTTGCTTAAATATGTACAATGTAACAGTATGATATATCCCATAATAGTGTTAGATTTGGGGTATTCTGGGAACATGCTGAAGAGGCAAACTACTCAGTTGGGGGTGGATGGATGGAATTTGCCTAGGAGGGGATATCAGCATTGAGACCAAAGACATAGAGCAGTTATCAGAGCCAATGAGGAGGGTTTTCTTGATAGAGAAGGCAGCATGTGAAGGGCCCAGAAGTACGGTACTAGGAACTGCTACTGGTATCTTTGAAGATTCTGTAATAGAGATGAATGTGGCAATTTGTTGGGACTAGATCATGAAACCCTTGGGTGTTATGCAAGGGAATGATGACTTTATCTTGGAGGCAACCTGATGATATGGAAGAGTTTTAGGCAGATAGGCAGGGGAGTGATAGGATCAGACTTCCACAATTAGAAGATTATGTTAAATTCATTTAAACAAATGTGAACAGTAGTGAATCAATTCCCAGGGGAAGTTTCATTGCCAAGTATTCTTCCTGCCGTGAAGATTAGCCTGTTAGTTACCAAGCCGCTTTCGTTTTCAGTGTCTGTGCTTGTGGTCGGTAACTTTTGCTGCTGTTGTTCTGCTGCTGTCTGCCATTCCATTCGCCATCTATCACGCACACAGAACCCTGGCCAGGATCATGAAGGGCGATTGAAAAGGTAACAAGAGAAAAAAAATGATAGATTAATGTAAGCCTGATGTTTGTTTTAGTGGCAGATTTTGGTGTTCACATGAGTGCCTGAGCCTGTCTAAATTAATCTCATATTCTCACCACAGTCTTCTAGCTTGAGAATTGACTGCAGGTAAAAATAATTGGAAATTATTGGTGTAGCCGAAACTGCATTACAGCTGCCAAGTGTGGATACACCGGAGCCAGGCTGCTTTTGTCTGCTTCCTCATAAACATTCTTTCCGCATTCTTTATCAGCACATAATCCTGAGACACAAAAAGCCTTTGTGTCCCACTGGGAATGTGAGAAAATCAAAGCTATCTATTGGTTTTGCTCCTGTTAGGAACCACTAACATTTCTATATTAACCACCCATGTTTTGAATTGAGATAGATGTTATCAGCAAGATGTGTCCTCCATTTATCCCCAAAGATATCACTGTCCCAATACAAGAAATCTTAAAGACAGACTGCAAATGTCTGTTTTCATCCACTTGATGCTGTGATTTGTGGATACTTGTTAGACATGTGAATTTAATGGGGCTTAGCCTAATAGTAAGCATTTATATAGAACTTCCCATGAGCCAGGCACTTGTATAGTAATACATCTAATCATCACCACAGTCATGTGAGGTAGCTATTATTGTTTTATACTGTTTGTTATGCACTGAATTGTATTCCCCAAAATTCATATGTTGAAGCCCTAACCCCCAATGTGATTGTATTTGGAGGTAGGGACTTTAAAGAGGTCATTAAGGTTAAATGATGTCATAAGAGTGGGCCCTAATCTACTATGACTGATGTCCTTATAAAAAGAGGAAGAGACTCCAAGAATGTGTGTTCACAGAAATGAAGACAGAAGACCAGAAGGTGGCTATCCAGAAATCAAGGAGAGTCCTCAGGAGAAACCAGCCTTATTGGTATCTTGATCTTGGACTTTCAGCCTCTGGAACTATGAGAAAATTAATTAATTATTTAAGCCTTCAAGTCTGTGGTATTTTGCTATGTTGGCCCTAGTATACTAATACATACACATTTTGCTGTGTGGGAAAATGAAGGCACAGAGAGGTTGAGCGACTGCCCCAAGGTCACATGGCTAGAAAATGACAGAATTAGGATTTACACATGGGGAGTGTGATTGTGGAATCAATGCTGTTAATCACCATGCTGTACTGCTTCTCATGAAGACAGAACTTCCCAGTATTGGGGCCTGGGCGGTATGACCATATTCTGCCTCTGGCATCTTTCCTCCCCTTATTTTCTGTACCCAGCCCTCTGCGTTCTAGTGTATAATACTCATGGACTGTTCACCTTGGGCTATACTATGTAGGAATGATGCATCTGCAGAATCCTTTACTCTCGTCATGGTTGGCAGTTTGCTCTGGTTTGAGCAATTTCATGGCTCAGAATAAGTAGGGTCAGCAAACATGTTAACATTTTTCTTGTCACGAATTAACTTTTCAAATAACAGCAAAACTCAGCTTCATTTTTTTCCCCAGTTTTAGTCTCATTGATTCAGTAAAAGAATGCTTTTGTAGTCTATTCTTGACTGTCATCTTTTGGAAAAGATTTTTTTTTGTGAAAGGACAGGAAGAAGAAAAGAGGAGAGAAAAGCAGTTGTTTGAATTAAAGTGACCATGTTAACACCTATGACTGGTCTGATGAATTGAGTACTTTTTAATTACTTAAATATGTTTAGTATGTTACATGTTTTAAAATAGTTCTTAAAATGTAGTAGCGTTTTTTCGTAGACACTTAAGCTTCAGCATACCTGAAGAAATGATACAGTTGTAAAAATGCAATACAATGACCATCGAGGGTGAGTAAGTGTGGGAAGCTTCCTGAAAATGCAGATGCAGAATGGATTATACTGCATACATATCTACATTAGGGTTGATCTGGGAAATTATAAAAAGTTTATTTCTGAGCTCATTAAACATTTCCTGCAAATTTAAAATTGAGTTGGTTGTATAGGAAAACAAAACTTATAATGAATACATGGACTCTTTTCCTGATCCTCCTTTTAATGAGGTAATTAAATGAAGAACAGACAATGTGTACATGGCCATGTGCCTTTCATATAGTGTAATTTAATACAGATACATGGCCACATATGAAAAGAATAAAATTAGATTTTATTGATTTTATATTTTCCTTAATTTTATATGACTAAGAGAGTTATATGACAAGTATTGTTTAATTTCTGAAACCATGTTACTATCACTTTAGTTATCATGATTCAGGCCGGAGCATATGCATCATTTCCAGGTGAAGTTTGTTCCAGCTCATGGATCAAGCCATTATCTGCTCTGTGTGCAGGACTCTTACCAGGATAAGAAGAAACAGGAGAATGCATTGAGCTTTACTCTAAACTGTGAAAATAAACATAAACTGCCTTTGGAACAATTTATGCAGTTTTTTTCCATCATGAAGCCAATTTGTTATCTATTTCTGCATATCAGTAAAAACATGTTCCTTATTCAAAATAAAATATTTCTCTTTATATGTTACTTTATTTAATACCTGAAGGTGCACTCCTCAACTTATGGCACTAATATTCGTTGCTGTGGAAATATTTTCAGAACTCAAGTTTATGATTTGTGGAAAGTGTACTAGAGAATCACATGAATTATTAATTAATTATTTTTTAAAGTATGCTTTTTTCTCCTATTCATGGTAAAAATAAAGAAATGTAAATTATGAGAAAAAGATTATTTTAATATATGGTAGAGTTTTTTTCTTTCTCATTAGAGATCAGTGGCTTTATAGCTTAGAGTAGTTTTTCTTATTTTTTTTTTGTGTGTGAGTAAACTTATCCTACTTTTAAAACACTCTATTTGTTGGTACAAGCTGAAAAAGTATTTATTGCATTTTCTTCATAGTTGAAATTTACTTTTAAGAATTCCCTTTAGATTTCAAAGAATTAAATGACATTTAAATTTATTTATTGCAAAACTTCAGTACCATTATGCCAACTTATGTATGATGCTTTTCTTCTTGAACCATATGCCTTTACTGCCTACTGCCAGAAATCCTATGGAGGTTTTGCTCTGAGCACTCCAGTAAGCAATTTTGGAATGTAATTATCCAGCATATTCAACAAGAAAGGTGAGGTGGAACCCTTATTTCAAAGAAAATTATCTGCTTTTGTTTATGTTAGAAATCGCGTATTCTATTGGCTCCTAGAGAGTAGGCATCTGGCTTGTGGATGCCCAGTATCTATTCTCCATTCTGATAACAGCATCCAGATTTTGCTTTGGGAATTGTGATGGTTAATATCTAGTGGCAACTTGATCGGATTGAAGGATACGAAGTATTGTTCCTAGGTGTGTCTTTGAGGGTGTTGCCAAAGCATATGAACGTTTGAGTCAGTGGTTTGGGAGAGGCAGACCCTATGTCTGGGTGGACACCACCTAATCAGCTGCCAGCGCAGCTAGAATAAAGCAGGCAGAAGAAAGTGGAATTAACAGAGTTGCTGAATTTTCTGGCCTTCATCTTTCTCCTGTGCTGGATGCTTCCTGCCCTTGAACATCAGACTCCAAGTTCTTCAGCTTTTGGACTCTTGGACCTGCACCAGTGATTTGCCAGGGGCTCTCAGATCTGTGGCCACAGACTGAAGGCTGCACTGTCAGCTTCCCTACTCTTGAGGTTTTGGGACTTGGACTGGCTTCCTTGCTTCTCAGCTTGTAGACGGCCTATTGTGGAACTTCACCTTGTGACTGTGTGAGTCAGTACTCCTTAGTAAATTCCCCTTCACATATACAACTATCCTATTAGTTCTGTCCCTCTAGAGAACCCTGACTAATACAGGAATCTACACCTCATTGAATGCGGTTTTGGGGGCAGAAAAGTTTGATACCTTTTCTTACTGGTGATAAGGCTCTCATCTGACCGCTCCTATTACAAAAGACAGGTTAACAAGAGAAAAGCATAGCAAATGTATTTAATCAAGTTTTATGTGACCTGGGAGTCTTCTGAAATGAAGGCCCAAAGACGCAGGGAAAACTCTATTTTTATTCTTAGGATTGATGAAGAATGGACACTCCCCCATCACTCTGTTACTATTAGATCATTCCCTTTTGTGAACACCTGTCTGTTCATTCTTCTTGGCCTTTCTGTAGTATTGCTTCCTCTTGGGTATGCTGCTGGACCCGCCCTGGAATGAGGCTCTTTAGGGAAGGATGGAGAAGGGAGAGGGTGACCTTTCTGGGTTTTATGGCCTGTTTTGGAGGAGAGGAGTTGCCTTGGGGAAAACAAATTTTGTTTTCTATGACTTGCTTCAGGGGAGATAGAGGGATAGGAGACAGAAGGGCAGGAGAAAGTCAGAATAAGGCTTTGCTTCTGAGGCTGTTTTTGAGGCCTTCCCAGTTTCCCAGTGTGCCACAGTGCCATACTTCTGTGTCATTTTCTGAAGCCCAACACAGTCCTGGAGGGACTTTCGGTCAAGGTGTCCTGCCTTCTTTTATCCAGGAGGTGGGTTCCTGAGCTACACCAGGAAAATATGAGTCCTACTTCAGAAAGCCATCCTCTCACAGGTAGTGAACATTGTAAAATTTAAAATGTCAGCGCTCACAACATGCAGCTTTCCTGCCATGTGAAACAAACAGTAGAAGAGAATTAGGGAGAGGAACTGGAGGTACTCTGCCATGTTAACATTCCCTGGTTCAGTTGTTGTTGAGAGCTAGCTTCTTTCTTGTGTATCCTGTGGTTTAACTATTCAACATTTCCTTTGATTCCACAAGTCAATACATTTTTTCTTTTTTTCTGAGCTAGTTTCAGTTGAATTTCTGTCACAACCAAAGTGATATCTATGTCAATTAAATATTTTTTCTGTGTTCATATTCATAAATCCTCCCTCCCTCCCTTTTTATTTTTTTCCTTTCTTCCTTCCTTCCTTCCTTCTTTCCTTCCTTCCTTCCTTTCTGTCTTTCTGTCTTTCTTTCTTTCTACAGGATCTGCCTCTATCACCCAGGCTGGAGTGCAGTGGCACGATCTCAGCTCACTGCCACCTCCACCTCAGCCTCCCCAGTAGGTGGATGCTGCAGGCACATGCCTCCATGCCTGGCTAATTTTTGTATTTTTTTGTAGACAGGGTTTCACCATGTTGCCCAGGCTGGTCTTGAACTCCTGAGTTCAAGCAATCCTTCAGTCTTGGCCTCCCAAAGTCCTGGGATTACAGGCATGAACCACCTTGCCTGGCCATATTCATAAATTATTTCAATAATTATAATCAGAGTATAGATATAATTGTGTTTTCTGCCTTTTTGAAGTAACATGATTTTTTCCCCTAAACTTTTTCTTTATGTTTGTCATAAAAACCATATAATATATTAATTGGTGTCATAGTTAGTTTACCACTTTATCCATGTTACTAATAAATACTTGGGATTTCAAAGCAGAAGAGGGATGTTGACAAGGTCCAAGAATAAACAGAATGGTGCTTCTGCTGGAACTATGTTATTAAGTAATACATTAATAATAATCAGACAAGCACACCCTTTTTATTAGTTTTTTAAACTAAACTAACTAAAAAACTGTCACCCCCTTTTTATTAGTTTTTTTTAAAAAAACAAAGATAACAGAATTTTGTGCATTTTTGGTAGTATTCTGTGGGTTAATTTTTAACAGCTGGATTATTGAGAAAATATGAAACTATTTAATGAACATACATTTTAGAATTCAACTAAAATTGAACACAAATGTAAACTCTGCCAGTCACTACTTAAGTGGCATTAATTAAACAATTGCTTCTTGATCAAAATGAGGATAGCTTGTCTTCTGACTTTGTTATAAAAATGAAAAGATGGTATGTAGATTTTAAAAAGTGTGTTTATCACTCAAGAAAGACGCTGATTTTTCTTTGTTTTACAATTATTTTTCGTAGAATCAGACATTGCTTATCTGGTCATTATTAATTTATTACTTAATAACATATTTCCAGCAGAAGCTCCATTCTGTTTATTCTTGGAACTTGTCAACATCCCTCTTCTCCTTCGAAATCCTTTCTTTGGTGGTGATTACTTTCAGTCTTGGTCCCCTTAGAAGAGCTACTCCATCGCTCTTCCATGGGCTCTTCCTTCATTCGCTAGCATTCCTCATGGGGACAGCAACTGTGCAAAATAGTCTTCTTTTATTTGCTTCATTTTATTTATCATAGCAACACACATGAGACACATTATCTCTGTGTCTCTTCATGACTGGGAACTTGCCTTTGTAATAACAGTGATTGTTATATATTAGGCATTATCTGTGTGTGTGTGTGTGCATGCATTTTCAATGAATGACTTTCTAGGTAAAACATTTTAATGATATAGATCTATGTAAGGCTACATTGGCATGAGATGCCAGGAGATTTTTCCATTCACTCTGTTTTCTTCCCAGTGAAAGAAATGGTTGAAAATCTGATGGCAGCAGAACTACATGAAGACTAAATAGCACAATAGCTGGTTACTTACTTAGAACCTGATGATAAATTTGTGATGTGTACTAATATAACCAACTGTTCTAAATTTTTAAAACTGATTATGGGTTGATTGCCACAGAGTCATAGGTTAACATTTTTGTAGACAACTAGGTATTTCTGATAATTTTCCTAATCATACAGTTGAATTGTAATTATATAGCTTGTATTTATTTGTGGGTAGCATTAAAACTGCGTATAATTTACATTTGGTATATGGACCTCATTCTTCCTTTTCATTGTGGGTTCAGAGACCTCAGTCTAATGCATTTGATCCCATGTGCCTCCTGTTGAGACTGTCTGCTTCTTAAAATGGAAATTTAATTTTTATGATATTTGTATGTGTTTTGAAGCAAATTAAAATTATAGTAGTTAGAGTTGTGGATTTGATTTGCATTTTCTGAAAGGAAAGGAAACTATTGAGTTTAAAAATGTGATTCGATTTGAACAAACTATGCTAATTAAATTTATTTTCAAGGACACTATTAGCAGAAAAAATATAAATTGGTGCAATTTTCCATTGCCTCATTTTGTATTTCAGAAGTATAATTCAACATTTTCTCAACACTTTGTTTTTAAAATAAAGCATTAACAAAATTTACAAGTGACTTATTTGTGTTTTAAAAGTTTACTTTATAAAATATTAGTCAGGAAATAGTTTCTTCCCTAGTTTACTTGTAACCATGGGGACAAATATATGTAAGTATTATCACTTGATAACTGGCTCAACAACAATGAAATTAGCATCACAAACTCAGACTTATTCAAATTTGTTGAAGCTAGTTTAAAGCCTCTAGGTAGAAATTTATTGAAGGTTAATAATTTACTTTAAAATTTAAGATTACAAACAGGATTGAAATTAACCTGTAGCAAGCATTATGTTTTCAAAATAGTTATAATTTTACTGTTGGGGTTTAAAATCTTGCTAAGCATTTATCATTAAGGCTTCTAGAGAAGGAAGTAAAAAGAAGGGTTGGTGGTACTGAAACCTATATTTTTGAGAAAACATAGGTTTGCTAAAAGATCACTGTACTTTAGTCTGTCTTCAGCATAATTTAGGACCAAGGGTGATGAATAAGTCCATTAATACCAAATGAGAAAAAAATGGGGGATTTTTGTTTGTTTTATTTGATACACGTGGTAACCATAAGGTGTCTATCTAGGATTTACCAGTTAATTATATTTGAAGGGCACTTTGGTCAGTAGCTAGGATATGTTTCTGAGGAATTAAGGGAAACCAGGGATGCATAACAGAACCACGAAGAGGGGAAAATACATGGGAAAGGAAATGACTGACCCTGGAAATTATTAGGACATCCTGCCCAGGATGTCATTACTAAATCTGTGTTCCATTATTTTCATAAAAAGATATCATCTATACACACCAGAGGACAATGGCAAGCAGACATAATTGGGCTGTGAACATTTCATATCACGTTAGCCTAGTACTTTTAATTAGAGTTTCAGTTTAATTATAGTATAATTCTAAACTAGTTGCAGGCACTGACTATCTGATGAGGGAGTGCAGAGATTTTATTTGGGACAGGTTGGTTCGTCATATCAAGGGATAGCTGTGATTGGGTGCAAAATGACATTGAATGCATTGTGCAATGTCTGAGACCTGAGATTAGGGGAACGTGTCAGTTCCTTTAGTCACATTAGAGTTCCATTACTATGTTTTGGACCTTCCCTTGTTCACCTTAATTAATACATAGTTACCCAGAAAGAGAGTCAGGTTCAATATTACTACACTTTACCTATGCAAATTTATAATATCAGAGGGAGAAGAAGATGAAAAGGAAATGAAAAATCAAAATTAATATTATTTTTGAATTAAATTATTTTTATAAGAAACATGCTGCTTTTTGCTTTTAAACACACAAAGTAGCAGATGTAAATGAATTAATAGGATAAAGCAAGTTGCTAGAAAAAAATACCTCTCATAGGAAGTAAAATCAGAATTGTATTATTGAATTAAATTATTTTAATGAAAGACATGCTGCTTTTTTGCTTTTAAACATTTCGAGTGGTAGAAACAAGATGTAAATGAATTTGTTGGATAAAAAAAGTTGTAGAAAAAACACGACTTTTGTAGGCCTTGATAATGTAATAAGGTACTACTTTGCTCAAACTTTTGAAAATAAATAGATAAATTGCTGGGCCTAGTGTTGTTGGCATTACTACACTGTTGAGGGCTTCTGTCTAAATATTTAAGAGACATTCAGATTAGTATAATTTTATTTTATTAAGAATCATGCAGCTAAGGAAGTTAGCCTTAGTTGGCCCAGCTAAGAAAAAAGGACAATGTTGGTGCATCAAGTGGTTTTATGAGCAGGATACCACCTGGTTCCGTGCTCTGACTTCATTTGTTGTTGTCTGGAATAATAACTCTTCATTGGCTTAATGCCTTTGCTTGTAAGAGACAGATGCTATCTGATCCCTCCTGTCAGAAGAATTCCCAGAATAAGCCATTCAACCAAGAACAATTGCTGTCTTGTTGATTGCAAACAGTAGAAGAGGGAATTCTCTGTATTTCCTAGCACCTTGCTGTTTGGTTGGTGTGTGTTCATCAGTAGCAGAAACTGTTCACTGACCGACGAACTGAAGTGGTACATGGGTGGCTTTTGAGGCGCTTTTCTGTGATTTGGCTGTTACTACTTTGAGTTAACTTCTCACTATCTAAGATGTCCACATTGCTAGTTTACTTTTAGCCTTTCCATTGAGTCTGTTTCCTAAAGTATGTTTCTATCCACCTCTTCTGGTGTATAAATTTTATTTTAAACAGGTCTCTGTTTCTAGTCCTTCTTTTCTTTCTCCACCCCTTTTCCTCCCATGTCTCATGACCACATCTCATTCATAGGCAGGATTTTCTTTAAGGCCGCTCCCATTTCAGAGTAGCGTAAGCAATACATTGTGGCTAAGAACAAATATATTACAGTGCAATATGAACTATGAGAAAATGTAAACAGAGATGCAACTCCGAAATGTATTTCCAAATTCACTGTAGGCTTGGGTGGATATTATAGCCCTGCCTGTTTCACTTATACTTCACGTCTTAAAAGATCTGGGGAATGTTTTCCAACATCATTCAGCACAGTTCTAGGTCTCATTAGGGCCGGCAGAGTCAATTTTCTTGTTTGAACTGCTAGGGGCAAGTCCTAAAAACAAACAACCAAAAAGAAACAGTGTAAATTGCTAATTCGTGTCATTGCCTGAAATCCATGCAAGCAGGATTCGTTCATTAGTTCTTATTTATTTATTTTTGGGATAGCATATTTGATTAGAACAAAATTCAGTTCTGAGAAGAAAATGTACGGTAGCCAAACAGTTCATTTTAGAACCCCCCTTCATTTAGTTAGCCAGCCTTTGTAGTGTGCTTGTTTTCTGCAAAATGTTGTCTATGTAGTCCTGGAAAAGATAAAAGACCTATAAGACCCAATTCTTTGAAGTATGTATGTCTTGCTGGATACTCTTAAAATGTATATTCATGAAAGTTCTTGGTAGAGGATGAAGACTACCTATCAACAAGTCAACAGTATTATAATTATAATTATAATATTTTCAATCAGAATATCTCCAAGGCAACTGAGGAATGATACTGAATCAGGTCAAGAAAGAGGGAGGTAGATTTACAACTAGAGGAGAAAAAGATGTGGAAGGGATTCTTAATAAAGGAGGTCTTGATACCACAATCCCTGCAATACAATGTTACAGTATCACATGGGGAAACAGACATCATTATGGTAGGAAAATAATGAATTAGTTGGTCACTTAAAGAGTGAGTTTCCATTCATTTATCTAATCTTTGTTCATCATCTTGAAATCTGCATTGGTTAGTCTATTGGGGAGTTTTGCAAGTTGTAAACATCCATCAATGTAAAGCAACTAAAATGCAGAGCATTTGGTATGCAAAATTGCAAATATGAAAAAAGATATAGAATTTCATATTCTAAATCTTGGCAATGAGGTAAGGGAAGTGGCCAGTTAACAGTTGAACCTAAATAATTGGCCACATATTTCATGTTAACAGCTGAATGAAATTAAAGACTATGTATGAATGAAGAAAATACATTTTCAAAATTACTTCAAAAGATAAGGTGTAATTTGAGCTTTTAGTTTTTTTTTTTTCCTCTCTCTCTCTGAATTTAGAATTGAAAATGCAAACCTATTTGACTCTTTATGGGTCTTGCAGTTTGTTCTCAGGGCTGTAATGTGTATAAAAGTAAATGACTGTCCAGGGTATGGTATGTGTACCAATCTAGTAGCGGAGATATGTTGGTAAGAATGTGACAAAGAGAATGACTTAAGGAAGAGGGATTATAGCACTGGGTAAAGAGAAGTGAATTTGGAGAAGCAGTGAAAGTATTTTTAATGGCTTGAATAGTACAGTGTAAGATTTTAGGTTTTGTTCCCTGTGATGTATGAAGAGTGGGCCTTGGCCATGGGTGGCTGATGTGGTATTGGAAGCATTCTGATAAAGTGGGCAGAACACTGGACTGGAAGTCATGAACCCTGGGCTTTGTAGCCTTGGCTTCACGTCCAATTATGTGAACTTGTGGAAGTTAATTCACCTTTTTGAGCCTTAGCTTTTCATCAGGAAAATGAGGGTGTTAAACTGCTCTGTAAGATGCCTTACCTGTTGTGTGAGGTTATTCTGTCAATTCAGAACTGAGAAGAAACTGAAGGTGTGTGGATGAGCTAGGGACTAACTAATTCATATGTGAGGAATAAGGACATGAGCTGGAACCACATTTAAAATTGAAGAGGAATGGATAGAGCACGGAGATATGGTGGAGGTGGAAATGGTAGTTTTTTAGACAGGACGAATGTTGATAAAGAAGAGAAAGAGTCACAAATAACTTTATGAGCCTAGGGGTTTGGGAGGACAAAAGTAATACTGAAGATTACAGGGAATTTAGGAACACTTGCTTATTGTTGGGGGAAGAAGAGCTCAGGTTTTCACCTATCCAATTTTAGTTGACATGTGAGTGAGATGTCCTGCAGGCATCTGGAAGAACAAGCGCGAAAGGGGAATGAGAGAGGTCAAGCCTGGTGATGGCTCCTGGGTTTCAGCCACAGTCAGGCTGTCATTAGAACAGAAAGTGGATGAGAACAATGAGCTCACTGAGGAAGGAATCAGAAAAAAGAACATTGGCCTAAGGTGTGGTATTGGAGTGGGAGTCGGGGCAGCACTTTCGTGTAATTCAGAGCCAACATGTCTGGAAGTTGGAAGTCAAGGGCAAACATTTAGAGAAATGGGAAAGGCAAAGGGAATCTGAGAGGTTCAGAAAGCCACCACTGAGTTTGGTTATGAGATATAGTAAGTGGATTCTGGGCAACTGCCTTGAGCCTTGAGCTATTTCTTGAATATTGAAGTGAAAGAAATAATTTTGTGGAGGAAATGAAGATTATAAGAATAGAGTGCTTATTTTAACCAAAAACCAGAAGTTAGACATTCTAGCAAGTAGGAAAATAGTGTTAAGTAAAATTCAAGACACTTAATTTGTTTGCTGTGAGAAAAGAAAAGCTTTTTTCTCCTTTTAATTCTGCTTTCAACGAGCAATTAACTATCCCCTCTAATCATTTCTCTTTCAAATTCTACCTATACTGGTTTACCATCTATCCAAGTGAAGCATCTCTCTCTTAGGAAGGCAGAGAGTGAAAACCTATGTGTGAAACCTCTTTCTTAATACTCCTATTGCAATTAAAAATGTACCCCCTCCCAATCTGTTTACTACAAAGAGGCCCTATGCCAGCTTGGTGTCATGACCACCATCTGTAAACACTATGTGTGAATTAAGATGGATTTTGTTACAGTGAAATTTGGACATTGACTGGGATTGAGTCAACATGGAATTTTATAACTCCATTTAGTTCATACGGCTTAAAGCAAGCTCGCAGTGATCTACATGAGGATGGCCAAAATTACTGGGTTCCCCTCCCCCTAATTTTTAGTGTCATAATCATTTCAGAAATAAAATGCAGAATTTTTTTTTTCCATCTGAGACATTGAATTAGTTGCAATAACTTTGCACCAGAATCATACAGTTTTATTGATGCTGGGGAAGTAAAGCCCTAGTGAACTGGGCCATTGAACACACCATAAACTTTGTGGCAGGACAAGTTTTCTGGGCTAGTCATTAAGCACCCTTTTTTCAACTGGAACAATACCAGCTACACTCTAGTAGAGTCAGTGTTTGCTGAGGCTTTATTCCAGCTTCAAATCTATCCCCCTGCCCACTGAGAACATTTGGCTTGCTTTATAGCTCTCTAGGGAGGAGTGGGAGCCCAGGAGCACTGGCTGAGGAAGAGTCAGCCAGCTGGATGGCTAAGGTGAAGTTGGTATGGAGCTGGTTGCTCAACTCACCTGTGAGTCCAGGAAGAGGAAGTACTATAAGGAATTTTGTATCTTAGGAATTTTATTTCCTAGCAATATATCTTAACCTAAAACTGGAGATGCTTCTTTATTTGCCTGTAAATTAGCAAAACTTTAATATTGTCTTACCAATTTTATTTTTGTATCCATAATACTGCTTTTCTCTGATATGGGCAAGTGAAAATGAAAGTAACTGAAAATGTTCTGCTGAATAGCAAACACCCAAGGCATCGTCATCTTTACTTTTGCTAAAAAACAAACAGAAAACCCCCAAAACTCACATGTATTTGAAATCATCTCTTTCCGAGAGTGGCAGAGTATCATAAAAATCCAAAATGGCCTGTGCCTATGGTCTTGTTTTGTAACATTATTTTGTTTGCATTTGTCAGCATGAAGGTCACTTTAGGGCTACCTGAATATCTGTATTGCACTCTCCAGTGTGGAGAGAAGACCAAAGAAGGTTAGAGCAGTTCCGGAACTAGCACATCAAATAAAAGTACCAAGCAGTACTTGAGGTGTGGTCAGCTGCAACTCTTTGCAGCCACCAATACTTAGGCACAGTGATGGGTCCAGAATGGATCCAGTGAGAAGGCAAAAAAGGAAGGTCTCATGTATTTGCTGGTATTCTATCAGAAAACAAGAGTTAGGAAGGAGAGTGTAAGTAAGGCATGAAGGAGTCCATGAGCCATAAGCAAAATCACATCAATTTTTAAACTCTTTGATCTTTGTTCTGCTTTTTTTCCCCACTGAATGGTAGATATCAGAACACTATCTCCAAAGATTGTCTGAATTAATTAATTCCCAAGTAGGCAGGAATACCAAACCCTCTCTTTCAATGAGTTTAAATGACGTTCCACACATTTGCCCTAAGTAAGGTGATACTTAAATTGTATCTTTACACGTATTGTGCAGTTCCTATCCTAGGCCTCTTCATTTTGGTGGCAGTGGCAATGGCATATGGAGAGTGATGGCTGGAGAAGGAGTTGTTAAATTATCCTCAAAGGCCTCAGAATTGAACATTGTTTCTTATTTCTGTCCTATGAAAAAAGACGGATTTTAATTATGATCTTTTTAAAATCAGGTTGGGTTTTTACTAATAAAAAAAGTCAGTGTTTAAATTGTATATTTGAATGTTTTCTCTCTACATTTTTTTAATCACAAATATCAGCTACATGTTACACAGTTTTTCATTTCTTAGTCTTTTTGAATGAAATAAGTAGTCTTTTCTTTGGTGCTTTTAAATACTATTAGTTGAAACTTGGTGGTTATTCTTGAAATTTAGCTTTTAGAATTTAATTTATTCTAAAGTGTACAGAAAAGAGATTGCAACTTTGTGGTGAATGTTGAATGCAGCTATGAAAACAATGTTACCTTTTTTCAAGATCTCTTGCCTAGCTATAATACATCTGCTAGTTACTAAGTGTAACTGTGTATAGGGTACAGAAAAGAGATTGCAACTTTGTGGTAAATGTTGAATGCAACCATGAAAATAATGTTACCTTTTTTCAAGATCTCTTGCCTAGCTATAATACATCTGCTAGTTACTAAGTGTAACTGTGTATAGGGTACAGAAAAGAGATTGCAACTTTGTGGTAAATGGTGAATGCAACCATGAAAATAATGTTACCTTTTTTCAAGATCTCTTGCCTAGCTATAATACATCTGCTAGTTACTAAGTGTAACTGTGTATATTTTCTTTAATAGAATTTGTTAGCTTCCTGAAATAAAATTAGCTTGCTTTATTTGCCACAAATTTGTTACTTTTTCTAAAATTTAGTTCAGGGTAATTTCACACCAAAATGGGTAAACATTTTTATCCTTCTTGGCTTTCATGATTGCTCTGACTTCTTCATAAAATTTGGAAATCACGTTTTAACTTTTTATTGCCTCTTTATTAAGTGCTTGGAAAACACATGGAAGCCTTTTTATTTTACATACTGTGGTAACATCCTAGTAAGATTTTATTCGTTTTCACTCTCAAGATTGATTTTTTTTTTTTAGAAAAGCAGTTTAGAAAGTACCCATACTCGTTGAAATTTGTCATCATCTAGACCTTAATATCACATATCCTAAGTTCCCCACTAATTATTTGCAGATTTCCAGGACTTAAATATGTGCTAAACCTGAAAACTATGAATGCATTTGCTGAATCAAACCAAAATGAAATTGTTTTCTTAACTATGAACGAGACTAAATAATTTTAAAACACTACTCAGCCACAGTAAAAAGAGTGTTGAAATAAAACTAAATATATATATGGTATACACTTGTTGAACTAAGCCTGCTTTATTAAAATGACTTTATGATTCTCCAGTGTATTGTTTATACATATTATTTCTAAAGATTCATGTTTAGCTGATAATTCATACTGCTTACATATTTTTGGATTGGTTGACCTCAGACAACAAGGATGGTTTCTAGCACACAACACATTCTGAACATATCATGAGCAAGATGCTACCCAAGTTGTTTTGTTTGTTTTCTTAAATATTTAACCAACAACAAATAAAAGTATATATTCAAGGTACTAATATGATGATTTGATATACATATACATGTCTAATGATCTCCACAATCAAATCAATTAACATATCTGTCTTCATCCAGAGTTATCATTTGTGTGTGTGTGTATGTGTGTCCCAAGATATTGTTGAGGGTCTGATTTTATGACCCCAGTAAAAATGATGGACATAGGCTCTTGATATGAGGGGAAAAGTGCTGTAAACACAAAGACTGCCTTATGGGGTGAGAGTGTAGTTCTTGGGTGACAGAAGTAAATCTGTACTGTGAATGTCCTCTTTGGAGAATTACAAAATGACATGATGACTGAACTGTAATGGAAAACTTGTTTTGGTAAGATATCCTTTCTAAATTTTTTTTAAGAAAAAGAATTCTAAGTGCTGAGTTCAAAGACTTAGTAGAATGCTACTGATAGGAGGATTTTAGTGTCAGTATTAAATACTGCACAAATACTTGACACTGAACATCGTGTATAATGGATATGGCCATATACTGTCTTTTTAAAGGAAGTGCTTCCTGCTTTTTCTCCAAAATAGCAACATATTTTTCTCATTAGTGAAATGATGGCTCTCAAATAAATATCCCAGCCCAGTCCTCTGTTTTTCAGCCCAGCCTGTGCTTCAGATTTACCTAAGACCATAACCCACAGTGATGCCCAGGAGTACCTCAATCTCAGCATACTTAAAAGCAATTGTATTATTTGTGCCCAACCTTGTTTCTTATGAATTTTGCAGAGTTTTAGTTACCTAAACTTGAAACTTGCCAGTTGGCCTTGGTTCTTCCTACCTTCCTTACATCAAATCTTGCACTGTCTCCTTAAAATCTCTCATACCTATGTCTTCTGCATATTCCAGTACTGATGTAGTTAAGACCTTCAGAGTATCATTCCTAGACCGTGGCAGTAGTCTCCTGTCTTCCACTTTAGTTGCACAGATAACATCCCCTAACCAATCTATCTTTCGCTGTTCTCGCGAAGTGATCTATCTGAAATAAAAATCTAATCATGGGAGTCTGTCTTAAATGTTCACTGCCTCCCTATTGCCAACAGAAAGTAGCTTTACCTCTCAAATGTTTTCTATGCACAAGTCACTCTTTAAAAATATTATATTGTATAATCCAAACAGCAACTAAATGAGGTACTTACCTTTATTATCACCATTTTATAAATGAGGAAACAAATACAGAGAAAATAAATACCTGGCCCAAGGTCACATAGCTGATAATAACAGGGCCAGGATTCGGCCCAAGCAGTCTGATGATAGATGCCCTGTGTGTAAACACTATGCAATGATACTTCTAATTTCTTAGCTTCCCACAAAGGCAGGGTTTGAATTTCAAAGTGAACCAAGAGAGGATGGGCCCATTTTATATCATCCTATACCAATGAATGTGGCCTGCCTTGCCACACTGTGTAAAGGAGATTGTTTCACATTTTATGGTATAAACTTAATGCTGAAAGGCAGTAGTTCTTATCGCCTGAGTTGGTACAAGTACTAATGGTTCTTAAGCTATTTATTACATTGTATGGCATCAGTTTTAGTTGAGACATTGGGTGTTTGTAAATGCATTCGCAACACCCATACATGATCTTTTCCTTTTAGCAGCATCTTTTCCTGCCCTTGTGCTGTTGACAGTTTGGGGCATACATTTTGCTGCAAAGAAAAAGATAATGACAGTGAGCATTGGTATGAAGGTATTTCCCTTCTTGCTTCTGCCTGAGGCACTTGTGAGTTTTCAGTTGTTGCAGAAGTTCTGAAAACTTTTATATTTTGATGGACAGAGCCATTGAAAACCTTGTTTCTTGAAGTTAAGTTTGATTTGAGAAAAGGAGTATACAGATACTTATATAGCCATATGTTGCCAACTCCTTGCCATTTATTCAGTCCACAGCTTGTTCTTGTTCTAAGCATTTATTTTATTTTCTGAGGTCATTGGTTTTTCTCCTAGGATCAGGTGAGTTAGGAAGATCATTTTTTTTTTCCATTGAAGAATGTAGTGTTTTCTAGGACACAGTTCAAACTTTTGTGAATGTCTTAAGTCAGTTTCTGATGTTTCTTTCATATGAGAACCCTTCATCTATTTGATGACAGCTCTCATGTCCCGTGATGTCACCTCTGCTTTAAATAAACATTCATGTTTCTCTTACAACATGACTTTCAGGGTTTGTTTGTTTGTTTGTTTGTTTGTTTTCCCCTACCATCCTGCTCTCCCTTTGAATTAGGAGACTCAAGGGTATAATTGAATATGGTTTAGTGTTACCTAGCAAAACACTGGCAGTGATCTTACAAATAATTTAGTTATCAGTCCCTACACCTTGTTTTATTATTTCTCGAGCCTAAGACAGTGGTTATTGCATGAAGATCTGTGGCCCGTTAGGTTACATGGAAAGGAGTGATTCATGAACAGACTAAAAATTCAGATTATACAAAATATGTCAGGTTTTGTTTTTGTTTTACTTTGTCTTTAATGTTTGTTTTCTACTTTGTTTATTATAGAAATGGATGCTCATTCTAGAATGAAAATAATGGAGTTTCAAAAATGTAGCTTTTTAACCCAGTAGTAGCTTTACAAGATAGGTTTTGTATGCTGATCAGCAGGAGATTCTGGTTATCTGAGTCTTCAGAACATTCGTTCAGGCATTCTGTACTCTGAGAGACTTTAAGATCATGGAAATTAAGAGTTTTGAAAGTTCTCAAGTTCTCAAAAGCATCCTTGAAAAATAACTAGGAGGTGAGTCATTTAATATTTCTGAACATCTGATTTCTGATCGTAAAAATCAATTAGGAAAATTACCACTTTGCATCCATAATAGTAAATATTGATTTGGGAAAGAATAATCATTGGATACTAAATTGGAATTAATAGAAATTTGACAGAGAGCAGGATATTTGCATGGTCTTAAAGCACTTCCCTACAGACATTTTGTTAATTGCAAGGCAAAAAAAAAAAAAAAAAAAAAAAATAGTAACCATATAGTGGAAAAACTGAATGTCAAAATTAATATCACTGAGGGGAGGCAGACAGATATCATGTGCTTTCAGGTATGATACTATAAGAACACAAAACCACTTTTGTAGCATTCTGGTGAAGAATGCATTACCTGAATCTCATCATGAGGAAATATCAGACAAATCCAAATAGAGAAATTGTCTAAAAAAATACCTGGCCTATATTCTTTCATGGCAGTGTCATGAAAGAGAAAAAAGGCTGAAGAACTGTTTTGCATTAAAGGAGATTTAGAGATGTGAGTTGAAACTAAATGCCATGCAGGATCCTGGGTTGAATCCTAGACTGGAAATTATACTTAAAAAGGACATTATGGAGAAACTTGGCAATTGAATATGGACTGTGAATTATATCAGGTGTTTGAAAAATTTTAAAATAAAAGAAGAAATACATATTTTAGAATTTGCAGGCAATACTGTTGTCTCATGCAACAACTATCCAATTCTGCTGTTGTTCACACTGCTGCCACAAATAATGCAGAAAAGAAGGGGCATGATTTTGTCCCAGTAAAACTGAATAGATGAAATCAGGTGGCAGACTAGATTTGGTTCACAGGTTTGTCAAACTCTGGATTATATAACTGTGGTGTATCAATGTTAAGTTTTCTTAATTTGGCATCAATATTGTGATTATATAAGAGAATATTGTTACAGTTGGAAATATATATTATTGAAATATTGGGGTTAAAGAGCAAGTTGTATGCAACCACTCTCAAGTTGTTTTAAAAATATTAATATGTAGAATTATATATAATAAATGGTAAATAGATGTAAAGATGGGAAATACATAGTAGAAGATGTTGAAAATTGGTGAACTTGGGTAAGGGATATTCAGGAGTTCTTTGTGTTAGTCTCGCAACTTTTCTGTAAGTTTGAAATTATTTCAAAATAAAAAGATAAAAACAAATTCAGGGAGTTCCCTAAGCTAAAGGGGGGGGGGGTGTCAAAAATTCAGGGAGTTCCCTAAACTAAATTGGGGAGGGTGTCAAAAAACAAAACAAACAAGCAACACACATGTGCACACACCCACTTGCCGCATGTAGCTCGGGTGCACCACCTGTGACATAACGAACCATGTGAATAAACAGAAGCAACACAACCGGGCTTCTGAGGCACTATTCAAATAAAACACAGAATTAATGAGGAGAAAATTTCAGAGAAACAAAGAACAGAATTAGAAGCAAAAGCTCAGCAGAATCACCTGATTTCACTTGGCTTTATCCTCTCTGGAGGGAAGAAGCAGCCTTGGAGAGATGGCAAGGTGTGGCTGTGTTGCTGTCAACTTCTACTTTGCCCTCTTGAACTGTCTCCTTCATCTTTCCATTCTCCACCCTCTTCTTTCCCCCCTCTCTTTTCCTCTCTCTCTCTCTTTTGTTTCTGCAACCGCCTTTTTTCAGTCTTCTTATTTTCTTTGGCTATGTTTTATTGCCCGCTCATAAGCTGGCACACAGACTTATTTGCTTCTGCTATGTTCTTATTATACATTAGCTCAATTAAAGTAATTGAAGAGAAACCATAATCAGCATGACGATATTCAACTCATTTGAAACCCAGCCCCAAATACAGTGTGAAAATACCCATTGTTAACTTCATGCACACTCCACATACACCTGTTGGGCCACTAGCTTATAGGTAAAAATAAAAAAGAATGTATTTTATCAGTGAGTCCATTTGCCTGGTCCATTTCACAGCCAGGCCACATTCTCCTTATTAATTGACCTGCTTTTGTTGTGAGTTTTTTTTTTTTTTTTTTTTTTAGGTTGTTTTGTATCTAGTGAATGCCTTTCTGATTTAAATTTTTCAGTAATTTATAATTGCTTTCCTTTAAGGCTTCTCTTTTCTCCTCTGTAATATTATCCCTGTCCATCTCTATTGCCCCAAACTGTTCTTGGTAAGTTTCTATCATTATTATTTTTTTCTGGAACAGGATTGTCTGAGCCTTTTCTTCTCATCTTCCCTAATAGCTAGAATCTTCTGCCCATTCACTTTTCCCCCCCATTCATTTCCTGCCTCAGTTTCTACTTCCAAATGTCTTGAAAAGTAAAATTTTATTTTGTTGAGTAAAATGTAAAAAGAATCTCACAGTACTTATATCAGAAAACTGGATGCCCTGTAAAATACCTTGATGTGTGGCATATTTCTTACAGTGGCTGGGAAAATGTTGAATATATGTATTCTCTGACCGTTTTCAACTATTGGCCATGACTATCATTTTCTCCCAGGAATATTAAATTCATTTAAAGCCCAGAGAACAGTGTTGCATAAAATTTGCTTTTAAATGATGTCCTTCAGTGATATTTATTGAAGGCATTATCATATATTCTAAGAATATTTTGATTCTCTAACTTATAGAAGGCAACCTAGCTCTTAATGTAATGTGATTTTAACTTTCCTTGTCTTGTTTATTTTCAGTTTGGTGACTTACTCTCTCCTTTAAAAAAAAAAAAAAAGGAAGAAAGAAATTCACTACATGGTTAAATGCAGTGAAAATGTGTACTATAGTTTCTTTTTTTTCCTTTCTTTTTAACTGTGGATGTTAAGCTGTATAGCCCAGACTTGTAATAGTTTGCAGGAAAGGCTTCTTAGCCATTAAAAAAAAAAAAAAAAAAAAAGAGAGAGATATTGTTTCTTCTTCTAGATAATGCCTCATTGAACCTGTAAAATCTGTATGTTAAGAATTATTTAAAAGAAAAATTCTGCACAATATTGATTTCTTTTTTTGTCTTGCCTCTTCTGACATAGAAAAAAGCTGCAGGCAAGTATTAACTGAAACACTTTCTAAGTTTCAACACCAAGTTCTCTTACTTGAACTTAGTGTTTTTGAAAGATGATGGTAGTGCTATAGTAAAGCAGAGACTTTGTTAGAGGCCCAAAGTGAAAAGCACTAGGCTATTATGAATAATTTTGTGAACTTACGTTGGATTGATTTTAACATGACTACTTTTGTTTAAAAAAAAACGCATTAGAGGTTAAGAAAACGATTTCATAGAAAAAGTCAAAGCTCAAACAACACTTCATAATTAGCATTCAGGACACAAAAACACTTGAGAACTCTAGAAAACCTTAGAACATTCCAATAAACTCATATATATATATATATATGAAAACTGAGACCCAAGGATGAATAACTAATTGTTTTAATGGGGTCTGAAATAGACCATGAGTTCCCCAAACTACAAGTTATATAAGATGGTTAGTTTATTATTCTGCTTAGGAATAACAGGATGTATAATGTTTTCATTGTTGTTAGTTTGTTGTTCTGTTAGTTGTTGAAGTATGTATTATACTAGTTTTCTATGGCTGCTGCAACAAATTGCAACAAAGTTAGCGGCGTAAAACAACACAAATTTATTCTCTTACATTTCTGGAGGTCAGAAGTCAGGAGTCTCACTGGGCCCATAAAATGGTCTGCAGGGCTAGGTTCCTTCTGGAGTCTGTAGGGGAAGATCCATTTCCTTGCCTATTCTAGTTTCTAGAAGTCACCTATCTTTCTTGGCTCATGGCCCTTTTTCTCTCTCTTTAAAGCCCACACTGTCATCTCTTTTCTTTGCTGCCTCCCTCTTCCACATTTAAAGACACTTGTGATTGTATTGGGTACACCTTGGTAATCCAGGACACTCTCCCCATCTCAACGTCAGCTGATTATCAACCTTAATTCCTCTTTGCCGGATAACCTAACATATTCACAGTCCCAGCGATTAGGATATAGACACTTGTGTTTGTTGGGGGCGCATTATTCAGCCTACCACAAGTCTAATCTAAATATTCACATTAAAATAAAAATATGACTTGAAGCAGCCAAAGTCTTATTTGTTTGGAGGCATAGATATCAAGTTAACTTGATTGTTTTACTCTTCTGTTTCTTCTCCTATCCTCAACACTTGTGCTAGAATATCTCTTTAAAGCTACTCCAGGGTGTTAGTAAATAACAATAATATAAAAAATGGCCAGCATTTTGTTTCATTGGATTTGAAATGGATTTCTATGTTGGAATATACATTATTTTGGAGGTATTTTTAGGTTATTGGAAGCCGAGTGCATCAAGCATGCTCTCTTTGTGTGCATTCTTTATTAATTTGTAACAGCAGCTTCCCTTGGCATACATCTACAGCTAAGTACACAAGCTAACCTTTTGTTTCTTGATAGATGGCTTAATATATGCTTTCTAGCTAGATAAAATAAATGGAGGAAAGCACTTCCTTATAGTAGTCATTTCTGTTTCTTCAATGTTAGATACTGGTTTGTTTTTGCTCATCTTGCCATGGATATAGTGATCTTTTTTTCCTACAAATGTGAAAAGTACATTTATCGTTGCTATCACCTAAATACTTCGTTTCAAAAAATTGTGAGATTTCTTTATCAATGGGAACTTCTGTGGAAAAGAAACTTACCCTATGTTGGTGAAATTGAATACATTAAGGTTTTTTTTTTTTTTTTTTTGAAAAGGTGTTTAATGTGTATATTGAATTTCCCTGGCTTGAGGCAGTGTTTTCATTTCGTACAGAGATTTTAGGAAATTATTTCTGATTGAAACAGAAACATTGGAATTTGTCAAAGGGTTAGAGAAATCTCTGACTAAAGCAAAGTGCCAAATACTAGTTAGGTTAGAGAAAATTTAGGAGAAAATAAAACAGAACCAATGGAAATTTGCTTCTTGGGTGGGTGGACATGTCTAAATATGAATTACCAACATGGAGGTTTTGGTGTTGTCCACCGAAGTCATGGAATTGCTGGAGGTTTTGGTGGGAAATTCTTTTCTGCAAATCTATTTTAGAAAAAGTTTTCTACTCATGACAATTTATATCAAAGATAATATTTAACAGTAATACAAACTTGAGAACAGAAAAAGTCCAAGTAGAGGCAAATTCCTTGAAAATAAACATTACTGATAAGCAATGTTATTGTATTGTATTGTATTGTATTGTATTGTCAGGCTCTTAAATGAAGGCCCTAATAAACTTCCATTGAAGAGTTTATTTAACTAAAAACTTGAAATTCAGGATTTGTGTGATGCTGCCAGACTGAAATTTGGTCTAAGATTGTGTGTGTGTATATGCATACATGTTTAGTAACATATGCATGTCAGCCTGTTAATATTCCTACAAATTGTGAGCCCCAAATTCGTTTGTACTGGTGGCTCAATCAGCAGTTAAAGTGTTGCCCTCTCCATCATCAACTAAGATTTCTCTAATCAGAATAGTCTTTATTTATTTATTTGATAATAATTTGTGTGTCCACTAATTGCCACGCGTTGTGCGAGATGTTAGACGCAGGATACTGAATATAAGCAAATGTGGTCCTTGACCTCATGGAGTTTATAGTGACACTCAAGTCAAGAAATCAATTAGGTAGTTGGATATATAGGTGTAGAGGGCAAAGGATTATATCTAGATTATGGAATTTTAAGAATTTTAATGGGACAGTTACATTTGCTTCTAATTGAAGCTATTGATACTAAGGAAAAATTCCAACATTTAATGGCCAATGAGAGGATTAATGGGACAGTTACATTTGCTTCTAATTGAAGCTATTGATACTAAGGAAAAATTCCAACATTTAATGGCCAATGAGAGGATTAATGGGACAGTTACATTTGCTTCTAATTGAAGCTATTGATACTAAGGAAAAATTCCAACATTTAATGGCCAATGAGAGGACTATGAATTTGCAAAGGAAACCTACGAGTGGCCAGAAAGGTTGGAAGAAACTAGTAGGTTTACATAATGGAAGCCAAGAACATGAAGAGAAGTAAGTGATCACCGGTATTGAATTTTGCTGAAATATGAAGAAGAGTGAGGGCTGCAAACATGCTTCGCGTTGGTGATATGAAAGTCATCAGTGACCTTAGACAAAGTGGTTTCAATGACACAGATCTGTAAGTTTTCTTACGGTTAGGATGTAGTTCTTCTGGGAGTGGATATCTAAACTCACTGGAAGTGAACATTTGCTATTTTGTAGAATTCTCATCTATGTGCAGGGTTTACTTTCTTCTTTTTGTATGTGATATTTATCTTACCCTCTCAACATCAAACTGAGTAACATTAGCAAGATAGGATTTGCCATTGTTAACACTGCACTAGGCCAGTCCAATGGCTCCTGCTTATAATTTTAGCACTTTGGGAGGCTGAGGCAAGAAGTTTGAGACCAGCCTGGGCAACGTGGCAAAACCCCGTCTATACAAAAAATACAAAAAAATTAGCCGGGCGCGGTGGTGCTCACCTGTAGTCACAGCTACTTGGGAGACTGAGGTGGGCGGATCACCCTGGGATGTCAATGCTCTGCAGTGAGCTGTGACTGTGCCACTGCAGAGCCTGGAAGACAGAGTGAGACCCTGCCTCAAACAAACCAACAAAATGCAGTTCACTGTCTGCCTTGATATAAGCATAATTTTCTTTAATCCTCGTGTCCAAAATATAATAGTAAAAGCTTCTTTTGTTATTTTTAGTATCATTCAGTTTTAGTTGATTCTCAACTTCAGTCTCTCTGATATTTTTTAAGGGTTTATTCATTTGTATATTATTTTTCTCTTACATTTCATTTAAAATTTATGTATATTAAATGCCTTAGCTGAAAAATATTGTGTGCATTTCTTTGAAGCATACTCTGCCTTTTCTGTTGATTCATTTTCCTTGTATATTCAATTAAAATGAGCCATATTGTATATTGTGTGCAACATTGTATATTGTAAAATGAGTACTCATAAAATCCGTTTTTCTCATCCCAAATTAAAATAATTTATTTTTAAATGTCTAAATATCTGGCCATGCCTACTATCCCCCTTGCTAGTTATTAGGAACCTAATTGTCTTGTGTTTCTAGACTCTGACATTTCAAAGACCTGAAATGCATCTACTTACAGTTGTTACCCTGTACCTGTAGGAGGCTCTTGTACATTATGCATAGAAAGTGCCTCAAATATAATTGCTTTATTTTCTAGATTAAGAAAATCTGTGTTAGAATATTCGTCTTTGACAATTCTTGCCTATGCTATTGTCTTCTTTAAGCTTCAGAACTAATTTGCTTTGCACTTAGTATGGATTGTCTGACACATGAATTAACAGGTAAAATATTGTATATCCAGTGTGTTTTTTCTTCTATTAGATTTCTTTATCTGTAATTGTGGCATTGACAAAGACTTGGCAGTAGATACTATGAAGACAGATTCAGCCAAGTAAACTGACAGTAGTTGCTACAAGAAAACATTCAGGAAAAAAACATTTAGTAATTTTTTTCCCTTAGTCTGAGTAACAACTGAGTAACAAGTCATAGTAACAAGTATGACTTGCTTCCTAGGCAGGCAACCAGTGCAGTGACACAGGATCCCAAATTCAGAAGAGGGTCCACACTTGGGGTTTAATATCCTGTTATTACTGTCTTGAAATTTTTATTAATTTTATCTTTGATTTTGGTTTTATAAATGAAGCCCCATGAGACAATGGGCCGAGAGCTTGAGGCTTGGACCCTCTGCTCACATATGGTCTGCCTCCCATGCCTCTTGCCTTCCTGGGGTGGGTTAGTGGGAGCTTGGGCACAGGTGTGGGTATGGTTGAGTTTGGTAAGTATTTACTGAGTTATGATACAGGGCCCCAGGTACCTGTGAGGGTCTCTAATCACCTCATGGATAGTCCCATGCCCAAGAGAGCTTGTCATTCAATAGCAAATAAAAAATAAGTGACAAGTTGAGAGAGACACCTGGGAAGAAAGATAAAGGAATTCATTTTCCTGGTGTTTGAATAAAAGGCCTGCATTTTCATTTTGTTCTGGACAAGTGATAAAGTCAGCCCTGACAATTGTTAATAGTGAACTAGTGCTTGGAAACAAGCTTCACCTTTGGAACTTATTGATTCGTTTCCATAATTTTTACATTTTTTTTAAACATGGTATATGAATAGATTTGGTTGTACTTAGAACCCTAAGGAATTCCCAAATATTTTATAATAAGAATTGTCTTTCCACAGATTAAATTGTTTGAAATTGAGCTATTTATAGCCTTATAGTAGTAACAAAAGGAATTTGAATTTAAAATATGGATTTGCAAAATTAATATCAAAGTTTTACAATTATTTTTACCCTGAAATTGTTGAAAAAAAAGCAACTTGTTTAATTAAAACTCTTCATGATCTTTTAAAATTTTCATTTTATTTCATGATTTAGTGTGTGAAGACTTTTTTTACGTAAAGCTTTTCTATATCTTCACTACCTTTCCCTGGGTCCCACGTTCATTTCAGCCTTGTCTTTACTCTCAATTGGTTTAACATACCAAACTGCTCTTGTTGGAAATTATAAATTTTATTTGACTGCTTTATTGTAGGACATATTTGCTTTGCATGAGGACTTTTAATACATCAGAATAGTGTAGGGTTGTCCTTGGCAAAATCCCAAACCTTTTTTCAGAGCAAAAAACAAACCCGGGAGAGAGAACAAATTGTCTTTAATCTTTCCATCCATAGCCTTTGTGACCTCTGTTATTGCAACTCCTGTAGACCTGCAGTGTTTTTTTTGTGTTGTTATTGTCTTTTTTTTTAAATCTCAGTGATCTTATTTTATTTTCTTCTAAATTAAAAAAAAATAACATTGGTGTTATGGCTCGAATTTTGTCCTTTGTCACAAGTTGGAAGAGTTGGTTATGCTGGTGTTACAGGTACTCACGGGGGAATGTGCTGGAGCTGTTGTGTGACCATCTGTTGTATATATATATATATATATATATATATATATATATATGTGTATATATATATATATGTATATGTATATATATATATTTAAACTAAAATAAAGGCTTTAGATGGCTCCTGGTGAAATATATAATAACATGTTAAAAATTCTTAATTTATTACTTTTGATGTATGGTTCTATCAGCACAGCAGATTTCAGAGATCTGCTTTGTTGATTTTTTCCAAATTAACTTTTTCCTTCCTTTTATATCTCCTAAGGCAGATCACACAAATGGATATTTTGGGTTGTTAATGCACTCTTTTCTTACTCAAAAGTCCTAGGGACCTTAAGTAATTTACTTTGCCTTCTGTGCCAGCTTTCATCTAGTTTATGTCTTCATATTTTCTTTCCATCTAGAGACTAGACGCCTGTTTGACTTAATAGTTGAATTTATGACTTTTTACTTGACTTCTGTTGAAGCAACTGTTTAGCTACATGAAGAGATTTTTTTTTGTGTATTTTTTATAGTTTGGCTCATTGCCTAAAATATTATGCAATAGTGAGTAGGTGCTTTGCATTCCAGGCATAATTTAGTTTATCTAAAAGTTTGTCATGTAATTCATGGAGGAATCATTTATTTAAAAGTAAAGTTTGGCCGGGTGTGGTGGCTCATGTCTGTAATCCTAGCATTTTCGGATGCTGAGGCAGGCAGATCGCCTGAGGTCGGGAGTTCGAGACCGCCTGGCCAACATGGTGAAACCCCATCTCTACTAAAAAAAAATACAAAAATTACCCGGGTGTGGTGGCAGGCACCTGTAATCCCAGCTACTCAGGAGGCTGAGGCAGGAGAATTGCCTGAACCCTGGAGGCGGGCGTTGCAGAGAGCCAAGATTGTGCCACTGCACTCCAGCCTGGGTGACAAGAGTGAAACTCTGTCTCAAAAAAAAAAAAAAAAAAAAAAAAAAACCGTGAAGATTGACTTTTATAGAGAAGGCTGAATTATTTTGCAGAAACTAAATAAAATTTGAATAAAATACTTCAATTTCTCACTTCCTAATAGCTATATTAGTTTTATGTTGTTATCTGGAAAGGTGCATATCTTTAAAGTATAAACTTGTTTTATATAAAACTACTTAAGATAAAATATCAATGTTATAGAGCTAAATGCTGATGGGGGCCTTGAATGGTTGGTAAACGTTGGATAGATGTGGCATCAAGGTGCATTTCACAGGTAAATTGAAGCCTTTGTGGTTTGAAGAGGTGAATGTACATCACAGGCATTCAACATGTGTAAGCAGAGACCCCCAGTTCTAAACTGGTTATTAACCCTGGGAATAGCACATTGGAGGCTGCCAGGTGATCCAAACACTAGCATCAAACACTTAATTTTAACTGTTGTAAGAGAGACAATAGATAGTATAAACAAGCAGAGAGAATATAGGACAAACTTGGAAGGGCAGTGCTTGACTTTTCTAGTTGTGAATAAATTCTGAACCTTTTCTTCCACACTTTATCTGCATTTGTCATATAGGGGGCATCACTTTCTAATGTACAGTTTTTTAAATATTTTACCTTTTGTGGTGATATGTTTATTGAGGACAGGCATTTATTGTTCCTTTTTTATAGTCCCCTTGATAACCCAATTAATTAATTTTCCAAGTGTCATGCACAGTGTGATAGGGGTTCTAGGTGTAGCTAGATGTGGGACTAAAAAATATTTAACGAAGAAATTAAAATTTACCTATTTTTGACTGGGCACGGTGGCTCCCATGTCTGTAATCCCAGCACTTTAGGAGGCCAAGGCAGGTGGATCACCCAAGGTCAGGAGTTCGACACCAGCCTGGCCAATATGGTGAAACCCTGTCTCTACTAAAAATACAAAAAATTAGCTGGGTGTGGTGGCAGGTGCCTGTAATCCCAGCTACTTGGGAGGCTGAGGCAGGAGAATCGCTTGAACCCTGGAGGTGGAGGTTGCAGTGAGCCGAGATCATGCCATTGCACTCCAGCCTGGGCAACAAGAGCAAAACTCCATCTCAAATAAATAAATAAATAAATAAATAAATAAATAAATAAATAAATAAAATATACCTACTTTTTTCCCAGATAGCCTTCCATTTTCCACTCTGTTTTCACTTCATGTTCCTCATCCTTTCTAGCCATTCCTGTCTTTCTCTGATGTCCCTCCACTCTCTAGATCTATTTTGAGCCATTAAAATGTGGGTAGTCTGAATTGAGATCTGTAATAAATGCTAAGTTACATCACGGGTATGATAAGAACAAAAGAGTGTTACTATCTCATTAGTTTTTATATTATTTACATATTGAAGATAATATTTTGGCTATATTGGATTACATAAGTATTAAAATAAACAACATGTGATTTTTCCTTTCTAAAATACAGTTTACTAGCAAATTTAAAATTATGTATGTAGATTTAATTATATTTTTATTGGAGAATGCTGCTCTAGAGTCTTTTATTGATTTTTTTCTACTAACTCTCTTAAGACACCTTTTTGCCTAATCTCTTCTGCTCAAAAAATATTTTCATGGGGGCCTGAAATTAGAAGACTGACAAATCTAGCCAAGCACAGTGGCCCACACCTATAGCCTTGGCTACTTGGGAGGCTGAGGCAGGAGCATTGCTTGAGCGCAGGAGTTGGAGTATAGCCTGGGCAACATCGCAAGACCCTGTCTCTTAAAAAACAAAAGAAAAAAATACCAACAAATCTTCTGAAACTTGTCTTTAAAAATGTTAGATGTAATATGAAAATGTTAGATGTAATATTATTCATCAATGATGCACTGATAAATGCAATCACAAACATTATGCTAAAATAAACAAGTCAAAATAGACCTTGTTCTATATAATTCCAGTTATGTATGAAATGTGTAGAACAGGTAAATCTGCAGAGATGGGAAGTGGTTGCCTAGGAAAGCAGGGAGGAGGAAGTGAGGAATGACTGCTAGTAGGCACTAGGTTTCTTTTAGGAGAGAGAAAGGTAAAATCAGAGAGTGGTGATTGTTGCACAACTCTGACTACGTTAAAAGCCTCTGAATTGTACGTTTTAAAAGGGTGAATTTTGTGGTATGTGAATTATATCTTAACAGCAGTTAAAACAAATTTACCTTATCCTTTATTAAAATCAACTTTGCTAGAATTTAAGTGTGTGTTTTTGTTAACGTCAATTGTGGCCAGGTGCTTTCATCTTAAAAAATGAAAAAAAAACAGGTCAATGTGTGCTGGAACTTTTGTAAGCAGTTAATTCCTTTTTAAAATTGGTGTGTGTGCAAAATTTATTTTAATGCAGTTTTTCCCCCAAGGGGACTTGTTAGGCAAATGTATTTAAGTGTCCTTTTAATGCATTTTATAGCTTCAGTTTATTCCTTTATACCACAGTGATGTTCCAACATCTGATGAATTCTGGCTTTTCATTAGGACATCTGGATTTCACACACACACACACACACACACACACGGAATAACAAAAGATAAAACATTTTTCACAAGGTGGTTATACATATCTATACTACAAATGTATAAATATGTTTTTTCCTAACAAATCTTGACAATACAGAGGTTGATGTGCTGAAGAGAAACACTTCGATTAAATTGGTCCATTATAAGAAATGAAAAAAGATGAATGTAAAGGAGTATTTTAAAAAATAATTTCTTTCCAGCTTCATTTTTTTCTTTTACTATTCTTCCTTAAAGATGACTGTAAACTGGAATATCTTAGGTTAATATTATTTTTATATTTACACCTCTAAGTGTTCATTATTTTATATCTGTCCTTCATTTTGACATGGCTAATTTTAACCTTCAAAATAAATATATAAATAAACCAATGTAAAACTAATATCAACTTTGATCAGCTTGACCTTAACTAAGCAAATAGTGGAGAAATGAAAGTTTCTTACAGAAGTTTAATGTCTTAAAATGGGGAGAAGCATTTTGCTTTCATCTGCTCCATCAGCTACACTGGGACAGCAGTTGTGTCTCCATTAAATTAGGTGTGCTTTGATTCTCCAAAATAAAGAATTTTCTAGACACTTGACTTGTGTCAGTGACTTAATAGAGAAGGAACACCCCCAAATTGGCAACTCTGTTTATCTTTAATGATTACTTCTTTTGGAAGGAAAAGGGCATTCTTTCTTTTTTTTTTAAAGACAGGTCTCACTTTGTTGCCTAGGCTGGAGTACAGTGGTATGATTACAGCTGCTCACTGCAGCCTCAACCTCCTGGGCTCAAGTGATCCTCCCACCTCAGCCTCTTGAATAGCTGGGACTTCAGGCATGCATCACCATGCCCTGCTAATTTTTTATTTTTAGTAGAGACGAGATCTCACTGTGTTGCTAGGCTGGTCTCCACTTCCTGAGCTCAAGCAATCCTCCCACCTTGACCTTCCAAAGTGCTGGGATTACAGGTGTGAGTCCCCATGCCCAGCTGGAAAAGGGCATTCTTGATGATTTTCAAACCACAGCTGGGACATACAATGAATCTATAATCAATAATGTATTATTACTCTCCACTGTTGACATGGTTTTGATCGGTGTCCCCACCCAAATCTCATGTTCAAATGTAATCCCCAGTGCTGGAGGTGGGGCCTGGTGGGCAGTGATTGGATCATGGGGGAGTTTTCTCATGAATGGTTTAGCACCATCCCCCTAGTGCTGTTCTCCTGGTAGAGTTCTCATGAGATCTGATTGTTAAAATTGTGTGGTACCTCCCCACTTCTTTCTCTTGGTCCTGCTCCTGCCATGTGAGATGCTGTGCTCCCCCTTTGCCTTCTGCATGATTGAAAACTCCCTGAGCCCTCTCCAGAAGCAGATACTACCATGCTGCCTGTACAACTTGTGGGATCCTGAGCCAATTAAACCTCTTTTCTTTATAAATTACCCAGTTTCAGGTATTTCTTTATAGCAATGCAAGAACAGACTAATACAACCTCTTTGAATCTTTTCCCATTAATTATGGACAACTGTTATCTCCAGTGTAATGTTATTATTCTGATAGATAAGTACCATGATTGTCTTGTTTATTAGAAATGGCAGCCCATGAAGGTTTCTTACTTGGAGGAACTTAAAGAATGATAGCAACAGACTATGAGCATTTTCTTGCAGTCTATAGAGTACAGGGCCAGACTTCTGGCCTGTGCTGTTTCACTGGTTCAAATGACTCCATTTGTATTTGCTGTGGATGTCTGTGTTTTAGTAGCAGCTTTGGGTATAAAGCTGTCAAAGCCATCACTTCAGAATTCATAGGTGATCCACAGAGATCCAGGTGGTGGGAGAATGGCTTTCAAGGTGAAACTTGGTGAGGTGGAACAAGGTTTCCAGGTGGTTGTGGGTTTCTTGCCTGTCTTCCTTTTTTCTTTTGTCCCATTGTAAGTAGTGGGCATAAAAGCTATGGGCTATAATGAACTTTGCCAAGTTTTGATGCCATGCCCTGACCATTATAGAAGCCCGGTAAATTAATTTAGTGTGATCGTATAACTATAAGAAGATGTTTTTGATTTATTGGATATTAAAACTTGAAGGAACATAGGGATAATGAAATTTATCCTACTCATTTTCCAAATGAGGAGCCTGCCAAAGATTCCCAACACATTTACCATTAATCTTTTTCTTCCTTTGCAATAGATTCCTGATACTTTTAACCTGTACTGCTCATATTTAAACATTCCAATTTTCAAGCCATGAGGATGGCTTTTTAAGTGTATATATAATTTTAATGTCAATGCATGTATTTCCAAAATTCTGTGAGCTTTAATAATAGAAGGAATATTTGAATGACCATGAGAAATGTCCGTCGTTTGTGTGTGTGCCTTTTCATTGGTGACAGAGATGAGTGTAAGGAGAAGAGCATAATGGATTTCTTTCACATATGTAAGCAAACAAATACACTGAAAAATGCTCTGTGATTCTCTCAAATGGTATGGTTTCTTTTTTATTCCTCTAGTTTTATTGAATTTTAATTGACCAATACAAATTGCATATAGTCAAGATGTACAACATCATGACTTAATTCATATATACATTGTGTAGTGATTTCTACAATCAAATTAATACACCGTTCACCACACAGTTGCCATTTTGTGTGTGTGTGCAAGTGTGTGCGTGTGCACATGCGCACATAAAAAGGACACTTAAAATCTGCTTCAAATGGCATGGTTTCTTATTATAAGCAATTAAATGTAGACATTTATTTCAAGTCATATTATACAAATGTGTAGTTTATACTCTTCTTAGAGTATATTTTAAATTTTTTAGTGTAGAGTTATCTTCCATATATTCTGTATTTATGACTGCATACTCATATCTGTAAGGAGAGTGTCATCTTTTTATTAACTTATTTTATAATAAAGTGAATAAAACAGCTGGCTTAATCTTAAGAATAAGCAATCCCTGTCAGATGATTGACTCTTCATCTGCTCTCTGTATACTGGCCCTGTTTCCTTTTTTTGCCCAAAACATTTACATATTTCCTGATTTTTAGTTTGGATGGAGGTGGGGAGATCAATTTTCTTATTGCTATTCATCTTGACAGTTTGTGCCACTAAAGTAAGAGATGGAGAGAAATTTTCTGAATGTTCAAGTCCCTATGGAGACCATAGTGTTGACCCAGTAGAGACAGTTGAGAATACAAATTGGGAGACTGATTTTCTTGCCTTCTCTACTATTTGTATATTTGACAGTATAAGGTGTTTGAGGGCAGTACATGTGGAAATGTTAAGGAGTTAACATTAATAGTACTGTGGTTAAACAGATGGCGTAATTAGCCCGCAATGGGGAAGAACAATGTTTTCGTGTTTGGATAAAAAGGGCACACTGTAGGTGGTAGAATAAGAGGTTCCAAATGACAGTACCTTATGAAGATCAGGCAAGTGACAATTTTCATGATTTAGGCACATATCTGTGCATATGTGCACCTATATATAATCTCTAGACCTATTTTTATCTAAGTAAACAAACTCTTGTCATTTTTAGGAAAAAATTATCTGTATGTGAATGCATAAATGACTATTAATTCAGCTTAGTCTGGGAGATGTGGCTAAGTATTGTGGAGGATGCAGAAAAGAATTTGGTCTTTGTATTCAAGTAGTCAGTTTTCTGGGACAAATTCATAAGCACAATGGCAAATATAGGACCTGGCAAAAATTTATTGCAAGTGATTAGCTATATGATTACTTAGCCAAGTCCAGTATTCTTCACAAGGGGAATATTTTTAGTAAGACAGAGAAAGCAGTTGATGGACTAAGTCTGTCTGTCTCTTCAACTTACTCAATATTGTTACCTACTTCTCTGTGTGGAATGAGGTTTGCTTTTGTCAAATCTGATTTATTCTGAACTTGGTTATAGATGCAGCACAAAAAGTGATGCAACAAGCAAGAAAACATAATCAAGTGAATAAAAGAATATGGTAAACCTTCCTGTTTGTATACTTTGAAAGTATTTTCCATAGTAAACTTGGAAGTTGAAATTGGTTGTATTCTGTGCTATTTAGATAGATATGACTCAGATTTTTATAATAATGTAAATTTTGAATATTACCTCATATTTTGGCTAATTATTAGAGAGATATTTGCAGATTTTCCCCCTTGTCAGCCCATCTGCTCCTATGGTACAGTCATAATGCGGAAACATTGACATCTCAATTATTTCCATGGCAACAAATTGATGTCAGGATCCTACATTTAACTTCACTGCAGGACCAAATAGGATTTGGATTACAGGGGTGGGTTGGGAGCTGTTATTGAAACATAAGTCTTTAAGAAAGGGAAATAGAAACATTTTGGGAAATGTATTTTTCAAATTTAGACTTACCTTTAAAGAGGAAATTATAAAACCACACATGAAGTGAATAAATGAATGCTCTTCTCTCTTTCTATCTGTAAAAAGCCAATGAAGGACATTTTCTTTCTCTGTGATGGTTGCAAGTAAAACTTTGAATCTCATCTAATGTTTGCTTAAAAACCGGAAAGACCCAGGCAGTTGTCCATAGTCCAAGTTCAGAACTATCATACTTTTAGTTTAGTAATGTATATAAATAAAGTATATGGTACTTCAACCTTAAATTATGTAATCTCTGTGTCTTTTGTTTAGAATATGGTAATTATAGTTATCTTATCTTCCATACTTGAGGGACTGCATAACTTCAGTGTGTTTTGGTACTTTGCCTTCCTTTTTTTATGTCATTTTTGTGCTGCATTAAAGAGTATCTAGTATTTTATTAGATACTCCTGATATGGTTTTACTCATTTTTTTTACTCAGGGTAAACAATTACATTTGATTCCTACTTACAAATTTTGTTGAATCTACAAATATTTCTGATACTTTTTTGTTCTGTAACCCTTGGTTTGTAACTTGTCATAAGGCTGGCCTCATATTCAAGTGCATTTGGGCTTCTGCCTCCCTGGCTGGAATGTGAAGGCAGGAATTGTGTCTTTGTTATACTCATAGTACCTGGCACATAGTGGGTAATTTAAGTCTGTTTGTTGAAAAATCTTGTTATGATCTCATAACAAGAGTTTGTCAGGGCAGATTTTCAGAGTATCGATGATGTCACCCCATTCCACTGCTGGATCTTGAATTTTGCAGGGTTAACATTTTGATTTATCTGTTTTGAGGAGCCCGATTCATGATAAAACAAGCTGAAAAGAGACTGACTTATCATGAATAATTGGTGATAATTCCCTGGTTCTGTCTATTAACTTCTTTTGATGACTGATTTCACGCTGGGAGATCACATTGTAGATTATATGGCTCTTAGATGAACCAGCCCTGGATTAGGTGTTCCTAAATTAGGTGTTCAAAAGTATTGTGTTTGCTGTATAAATTGTGTCTGGACATTTTTTCTATCCAGGTACCTGATAGCCATCTCTAGGAGGAAAGTATTTTCTAACTCTTAACTGTGCTGGACAAATACCACCAGAAATTGTGTTCTTCTCTCCTCTAAAATGACTGTATATCTTCACCCTCCCATTAAATATTACATAAGACATTAGAGTGTGAATATTACAAATGTATGACCTTTGGTATCCCTATTAAAACAAGAGGGAAGGAGAGGTAGAGAAATGGGCACTAACTTGCTTCAAATCGCACTCTGAAATAAGTGGAGGAGTTGGGATTTGAATCTGATTCTGGAGTCAGGTCACTTGCTTCTGAGCTCATATATAGATTGATAGATCATTTCTGAAGTAGGATATGCTGCTTATGCTTTAATTTTAACTGTTTTCAGTATTAAAAGGGGAGCGTCTTTCCAAATTTGAGCATATCTCACTGTAGCCCCTAAGTGGGAATGATAGTTTTCTACCTGCAATATACCTGCTTTCAAGGTCAGGAAAGCAGAGAATTGACATGAGACTAAGAAGAAAATGAGTGTATTTAATGATAAGAATTTATAATGAGATTTCAAATCAGCAAATATACCCATTTTGGATCTATTTATTTATTTTTTCTGTGCAACTTAATAGCATTGCAGTAAAAACTTGCTAATTTAGATGACTTGTGGGCAACACCTGTTTGAATTAACTGAAAGTCTGAATCACATAATAATTTTGTATACAATAAGTTTTATTATTTTTCTGATACATAATTAACATCATTTAGGAGCTAGAAAAACTAAGCTTCTGAGTTACTTAGAATAGTTTGTTTTATATGCTATTAATTGCCTTTTAAAATATTTAATATTTTCTACTTAGAGATTGACTCTTTGCAAAAGGCTTTTATATACAGCCCTACATTTAATCCCCAGAGGAATCCTTATTTTTCAGATTAGTCAATTTGGAGTAAAAGGAGAGCATTAAAAAAATTTCTTCAGGACCAGATGTCTGGTTATATAATTCTATATCAAGTTAATATAGCTTTCAAAAAGTAAAGCAAAATAGCTGAGTAAACTTATCATGAGCAGACCCACATTACAAGAAATATTCAAGGATTTCCTTCAGACAGAAGGTAAATGATACCAGGTGGAAGTATGGATCTACACAAAAGAACAGTGCTGAGATGCCTATATTAGTAAATATAACATTTTTTATTAGGTATATCTCTTTAAAGGATAATTAGTGACTCCTGACAGGTATGGGGTTTCTTTTTGGGGTGATGAAAATGTTTTGGAGTTAGACAATAATGATGGTTGTAAATCCACTAAAATCCACTGCGTTGTACACTTGAAAATGATGAATTTTATGGCATGTAAATCATATTGCAATACAAATAAATAACAAATATTTTTAAATAAGGTATTGATAAAGCAAAAAGATGGCTGGTTAGCATTAGCCTGGCCTAAAGCCTGTGTATTTGAGATGTTTCATTATTACATCACAAATCTTTGCTATTTAGATAACTCTTTTTAAATTATCATCAAAGTTTGCTTAGCAGCATCTGAACTGTCTTGGTCTGCTCAGGCTGCTATAACAGAATACCAGAGGCTGGGTAGCTGATCAACAAAAGAAATTTATTTCTCACAGTTCTGGAGGCTGGGAGATCCAAGGTCAAGGTGCCAGTAGATTTGGTGTCTGGCGAGGGCCCTTTTTGTGGTTCATAGAAGCTGTCTTCTGGCTATGTCCTCACTTGGCTGAAGGGGCAAGGGACGGAGGTCTCTTAAAACTAAAGGTTTTGCCCTTCGCTGAAGACCGTTGCTGTTGCTTTATTCCATTAAGGGCTGCAAAATGGGGATTTTCTTATTATATATCCATATGTTATTGTGTATTGTGTCTTATTCTTTCTTATCCATAGAGTGTCTGGAATTAACTTCTATAGAAGAACTTTGCTTTACCTGCCAGGGCTATTTGGTTACCTGGAACCACAGTTTTTAATGGCAAGGTGGAAGAATTTTCTTCCTTATGTATCAGTTTTCAGCATACTAAGTTGGTGCCCTGCATGCATCATAGTTTTCAGTTTCTCCATGTGATTCTTACATGCAGCTTGGGTAGAGTAGCACCAATGTAGAGCTTGGATACATCCCAAATTCCAAAGTTTTATTACTTATTATAAAAGCACATTTACAGGGTGGCTATTTTGTTTTTGCCACATTATTTATCCTCTTGCCAAACTTTATCAGAGCATATGGATTTCTTTCGAAGCATTTCTATAGGGGAGTTTTGGGAGGTGCTTCCTTATATTTGTTCATCTTACAAACTAAGGTAAATGAATTGTAGAAGAAACACTCCAAAGGCAACCAAAAAATAATGTTAACATTTGTTCAGGATTTATTTTGTGCCAGGCTTTGAGCTTGGCCCTTTACAATCGTTAGCTTATTTACCCTCATAACACCTCATGAGGTAGGTAATCTAATTCCTAATGCAACAGAAGCTAAAATTTATCTACTTGTCTAAAGTTATGGGTCCAGCAAAGGGTTGGGCTGGAGCTAAGGGGTGCAGACGTTGGGAGATCCAGAGCCTATGCAGTGAGTCCCAATTCTCTGCTCTTCTCAGAGTGGGATATTTCACATGTCTAATCCCATTCCCCCTGTAGATTTGTCTATTTCCATTCTGAGACAAAGAAATGGAATGACTGTTTGTAATATTCAGATTCTGCCATGGGAAAATGGAAATATATACAGTTGTCTACAGTAGTGGTATTTTGATTAGACCAATATAGCTAGCATTTTCAAAGTGGTTATAAGGTGATGGTCACAATGTTATTTACATACCTTCATGATAGCATTTAATCGCTAAATCTGCAGGTCAGCTGTTATTAACTCTGAGGAAATAGGCTTAAGGAAATTTAGTACTCAATGTGACACAGTGAAGTTGGAACCAAAGTTCCTCTGACTATGTAGATCTTTATTCTTAATCACATTATGCTGACTGGGCAGAGGAAGAGTTAATAGGAATTAAGAGAGGTTGGAGAGTAGCCATCTCCGGAAGCCAATTTAAGGTTGTTTTCCATCCAAAACAGGAAACCTATATAGCAATAACAACACAAGTTTTATAGAATATGGCCCAATTAATTACCTCAATATGAAAATATGGTCATATCTCTATAGTGTGCTTGTTTTCATTTTTCAGTTCCTCCCTGGTGTTGGACAGTGAAAGAATAAGGTATTGACTAATCATGATCAGTTCAGAATTTTGCTGTGATTTTTCAATAGGTGTTTCTCATTATTTGGAAATGAGCACTCAGTAAAAGACCTTGCTGTGTCTTGCATGGTTTGCCTCATTATGCTTGTGGGATGTGAATTTAAGAAAAGTAAGCTTGGATTATTTTCCCCAGCGATTGAAGCTTAGGTTGTATAGGTATATAATTTTACCATATCAAAATATTTGATAATTAAAACCTTATAAAGAGAATGTAATGCATCCCTAAAAGCCCATTTGGAAGGGAAGACACAGTCAACAACCAGCAACTTATTAACTGGGGAAAAAGTACCAAATGCACTTGTGTATATTTTAAGTGAAAAGAAGAGAGGACTCGGATGACCATGCTTAGTTAAGGGGGAGGGTGACCTTTTATATGCAAGTTGGGAAATACAGAGAAAGTGAAAGGGGACCAAAATGAAAACACATGAAATAAGATAAGCAGAGATGAAAGGTGGCACTAGAACTGTAAGAAGCATTTGAACAGGCAGAACAGTGCTGGAGACTTTAGGAGAGGGCTCAAGCTGCCATGTGGCCGGTCCTCAAATAGTTCTAGAATGACTAGCATATCTTTTTACAAAACTATAAGCAACTTGAGGGCAAAAATAAAGTATATTTATCTTGCATCCTGAAGAATAAACATGGTGCTTGGCATTTGGTAGGTTTTCTTTATGTGTATATATGAAAAGCATATTTTCATTTTATTAGAAGATTGTGGTAAAAATTCTATTGAAAACCATGCTATAATGTAGATAGCTAGACTTAGTTCGGTGGTTTCCAAACTTTTTGGTTCAAGTACCCATTTATGCTCCTAAAATTGTTACTGACAGTCTAAAATAACTTAGGTTTATGTGGATTATGTCTATCAATATTTACCATATAAGAAATTAAAACTGAGAGATTAGAAAACCAATAATTAAAAACCCATTACATGTTAGCATAAAACGTATTTTTGCAGGAAATAAAACCCCTACATTTCCAAAATAAACAACAAACAAAAAAAATTTACCGAGGCTTTTTTTTTAACATATTTTGCAAATCTTCAGTTTCTAGCTTATTAGAAGACTAAATTTTTGTACCTCTTCTGCATTCAATCTCATATTTTGTTTTGTTTGAATGTATTAAAAAAACTCACCCCACACAAATATGTGGTTGGAAAAAGGAGGTGTGTTTTATAGACTTTTCAAATAATTGTGTATATCCTTCTTTTATACTATGCCAAAAGTCTACAGATTATAATTTCTTAAGAGTTTGAATCAGAATCTAAAACTTTATCAGTGAGCAATTTATACTCTGTTTTGTTAAAATAGATTGGTGTTTTTTGTAGTTTGGGTGGATCTTTTACCTATGCATGATTTGGAAACATCATGTATTGGTCAATTGGAAAATATCAAGTTGCTAAGTTATTTAGATGTTCCCCACGTTGGCATATTTCATTATGTATCAAACAATCAGATTTTTAATATCAAAGTATTTTAAGAGTTGGAAAGCTGTCAAGCTCAGGATGGTGGATTAAATTTTTTAGTATACCGTTTTTGGCTTAAGAGCTCAAATTTTGTCATTGGCAACAGACATTGTCACTTATTTTTCTTGAGGTGACAGGCTTACTCCTTTTCTCATTTTAAACGTTGGTCATGACCACTTGGGAAGAGTTTGTCTTCAGTGAATCAGTCAAGTAAAAATGGCGTTTCATGAAAAGAGTGGCTAGTTCAGCTCATATCTCAGTCTCATAAGTGCTTTCCTTGAGATAAACAACCCATCTTATTTTGATATGCAACAGAAATGCTTTATGTATACTTTCCTTCATCATACAGAATATTAAAATGACATAACGATTGTGATTTTAACAATTAATTTTACATGTTTATCAAAGATATTGTCAAGTGAAACTGCGTTCTATTTACTATGATTGCATGTCAGTGAAAAGTAAAATGACTGCCAGTAAAATTTGTTGCCCCTGCCTTAGTTCTTGCTAAAGGAATCAACAGTTTTACCAACCAAGAGTTTCATTGCACCATCAGTGGAAAAGGTAAGTAGTGCCTTAATATGACGTGGAAATGGTTTTGACCTCAAAGACCCCAGGAGGGCCCTGAGAAACACTCACTTTGAGTATCCGTGGTTTGGGGCAGGGGAGGTTATAGTGTACGATAAAGCAATTATACTTATATGTGAAAATTATTTTGGTATATATTTCTAAGAGTAGAATTTCTTCCATGCATTAGAACAAGTGGTTTTGTTTAATTGGTTCATTAACAGCTTGGATAAATTAAATTGCTATTACAGAGAAGAAGATAATTTGTTTTTAATTTTCAAATAAATTGAGTACAATAATGCTTCACAGTGAATTTCTTAATAGTGATCTTGCTCATTGTCATAACTGTGTGCACATCCTTAGACACAAATATGGTTTAAGCAGGTGGCATACTTTTCTCCACTGTCAAAGTATTAATATCATTTCTCTGCTTATATGGTTCTTTTTCTTTTCTTTTCCTTCTTTTTTTTTTTTTGTTGAGATGCGTCTTGCTTTGTCACCCAGGCTGGAGTGAAATGGCGTGATCTCAGCTTGCTGCAACCTCCGCCCCCGCCCCCAACCTGGGTTCAAGTGATTCTGGTGTCTCAGCCTCCCTAATAGCTGAAATAACAGGCGTGTGCCATTATGCCTGGCAATTTTTTTTTTTTTTTTTTGCATTTTTAGTAAAGACGGGGCTTCACCACGTTGGCCAGGCTGGTCTCAAACTCCTGGCCTCAAATAATTCTTCTGCCTCGCCCTCCCAAAGTGCTGGAATTACAGGCATGAGCCACCGCACCCAGCCAGCTTATAGAGTTCTTTGTCTGATTTTTGTACTACTATAGTTTTATCTCACAAAGTAAGCATATGGGCAAAAACAGCGTAAGTGTGAATGTGTTAGACTTTTCAGTTACTGAGTTAACATAGCACCTAATTCACATGCAAATATTATATATTTATTCCTACCCTTGGTTAATAGTCAATTTAAAAAATTGCACCTTGGGAAAAAAAAATCATTGTTTTTACCTAGAGAGCAGAGATGAGATTATTTTATTAGAATTTCTTCTAGGATTTTCTACTGTTGTATTTTCCCCTTCATTTTTTTATCCAGGTTTCCGTTTTGGAGAAAAAAGCAACATTGAAGAATGAGGTAGAGCCCTGGAAAAAAGTGTCCTTCTAGGTGTGTTAAGAATGGTTATAGAGATTGATATCAGATACCATGAGTGAGCAAAATAGTAAATTCTCATAAAATAATACATGAGTATAGGTATTGAGCTCTTTTAAATAATATCAAGTGATATAGATGAAGGAAGAAAATGTTAAAAGGGTTTTAAATAAGTCTCTTTTTCAATGGTGTAAGTATGAGATTTGTGAAGCCCTTTCCAGATGCATGTGTGTTTGCTTATGTTTAAAAAATCACTTGAGTGCAAACATTTAAACACATTTTATAAAACTGGCGGGCCAGGCACGGTGGCTCATGCCTGTAATCCCAGCACTTTGGGAGGCCGAGGCGGGTGGATCACGAGGTCAGGAGTTTGAGACCAGCCTGACCAACATGGTGAAACCCCGTCTCTACTGGGGGAAAAAAAAAATTAGCCAGGCGTGGTGGTGGGTGCCTGTAGTCCCAGCTACTCAGGAGGCTGAGGCAGGAGAATCACTTGAACCCAGGAGGCGGAGGTTGCAATGAGCCGAGATCATGCCATTGTGCTCCGGCCTGGGTGACAAAGCGAGACTCTTTCTCAAAAAAACAAAAACAAAAACAAACAGACAAACAAACAAAACTGGCATGGCATTGGACAGTGACACATAAGAAGCTGATGTCATCTTTGCCACTTAGAGAAGGCAAAATATCTTGTTAGATAACCCCTCTTAAATGCTCTGCTTGGCTAGTACTTTTTGGGCTTGGTCAGTGATTAGAGTTTAAGTTGTAAATGGTATTCATAATTTCTTGTCTCTGTCTCATCCCAAACAGATTAGAAAATCTTTGATTTTTGTTGGTAAGGAGCTAGCATCTTATTAATACAAAGCCTTGTGCATAAATTATTTCCAGTAATTATTTAGTGCCTAATGTGGCATGCTTTGTGCTGAGTGCTGAGGATAAAAGAGGAATAAGGTAAGATCTTTATAGTTTAGCAGAGGAGGATGTGAGTGGGCAGAAAAATGTTATGAGTTCTATAATAGGAATATGTATAGGGGAACTTGGTTACAGCTCAGCTTAATTGAGAAAGGGTGTGAAATGAAAAGACCAAACATTCTTTGCAGAACAGCTAAACAGTTGGAATTATATACTCAGATGAGTTAATGATTATAAATAGCCATCATTTATTATCTCTCCAGAACTCCAGAACCAAGGTTATAAAAAATGAATAGTTCTTTATTTAGTTCAGAAGCATTTGTGAAGTATCTATAGCATCTGTAACATGGCAGGCCCTAAGGACGCTGGCATGAATAGTGGGCCGTCATCTACTGGGAGAGTCAGTATAGCGTGTACGTGCGTTAGAGGTGAAATGCATAAAGGGGCATCCAACATGGCTGGTGGCTGGCCATGTGAACAAGACATTTGCATTTGCCACAGCATAAAGAAGGATATTTCTGAGTCATGGAGTATTTTATTATGTTTATTTGGCCCCAATATTTCCAAATAAAAAGAGGCCTTTGCTTTTGTGCTACAGGCGTTTCTTATCTTTAGGAAGAATGGGCCGGGCGCGGTGGCTCACACCTGTAATCCCAGCACTTTGGGAGGTCAAGGCAGGCGGATCACAAGGTCAGGAGTTCGAGACAAGCCTGACCAATATGGTGAAACCCCATCTCTACTAAAAATACAAAAATTAGCTGGGCTTGGTGGCACACGCGTGTAGTCCCAGCTACTCAGGAGGCGAGGCAGGAGAATTGCTTGAACCTGGTAGGTGGAGGTTACAGTGAGCCAAGATCGTGCCATTGCACTCCAGCCTGGGTGACAGAGTGAGACTCCATCTAAAAAAAAAAAAAAAGGCACGGTTTTGAATCTGCACACTCAAAAATGGCCACAGCTTTCCCGCTACTTTAAGCACTCATAATAGATTAAGCATGGGTCAGATCTCACCACTCATTAGCTATTGGGTCTGACCACTAATTATTTAGTGGATCTCTAGATCAGTTATGTAACATCTCTAAATCTTACTTTCTTCTACTGTAAATTAGAGATAAAAAAAGTAGCCAACTCCTAGTGGTTTTGTGAGCATTTAATGAAATGATCTATGTAAAGTGCTCAGCATGGTGCCTGACATATGGTGGAGACTTGTTATATGTTAGCTATTATTATTTTCTCTTAAAGTACTTTAATAAACTGCATATAATTTAATCCTCAGAATAACTCCAAAATTAGGATTTCTCTTATTTCACAGGTCAGGTAGAAATCTTGGCATTCTGGCAGGGCTTTTCACTACCAACCAAGATAACAGCTTGCTTATTCAAACCAGGAGCTGCTTTTAGTGTTGGTAATGATTTCATAGAGAGTGATGCTATCTTTTTTTCATTAAAGTGGGATGATAAACATTTTCGTACCCCCTCACCATGTGCAAAGCACTGTGCTAAGTATTTTAGAAATAGGAAACTTGAAACTGGGATCATCCTTGTCCTTAAGAAGCTTACACTTTATTATGATAAATAAGATAAAAATTTAAGTAACTATGCAGTAGAATATACTGTATAGTTTTGAAAAGAAAAAGTATTACTTGACTTTGTCTTATTTAAGCTTTAGATATTCTGAGGGGTAAAAAACACAAGATTGCAGTTGTTAGAAAAGCTGTTTTGAGCATTTTTCCCCTACTGTTTTCCTTAGTTTTATTTGCAAGCTGGAGCAGGTATTAAAGATGAAGTGTTCTGGTGGGAGCGGTAGCCCAGAGTGCTTGAAGCATTGCTAATTTCAAACCTTATAATTTAGTTAAATTGAAACATAACTGCATTTAGATGAATGGGCTGCTAGTTTTCCTTCCCAAAGCAAACATGCCAACCTCTCATTACTTCTTGTCTGTGCTACGGCTTCTGTGCTATTCAGATCTGCTCGTTTACACATAATTGACATGTAACAGTGTCACAGACTTTTTATTTTGCAGAAAGAATTTTTAAAAAATTAGGAATGCTTTCCATAGCATGCCGTATCAATTATTCTACATTTTGAAGTGAGAATGACAGAGTGATCCAGAAACTTGGTGTTTCTGTGGAAAGCGGTTTGTACAGTACTTGGCTCATGCTTTTACAGACCTGGGAGTAAGTGACACAGTAGGTCTGATTACAAATACAGTTTATCTTCATTTGGAATCCATGACTTCTATTAAATTTAATTACTTCCCCCGTGGCTTCTATTAAATTTAATTAATTCCCCCTGCAGCTGGCATGGTAGAGGTGCTGCTGCTAAATGAAGGTGATTGCTAATTGAGGGAGTTTTCTGAAAGAGGTTTTACCCTTTCTCTTGTTTATCTGGAAATCGCTTATCCAGCCAGACATCTGAGAACATTAGTGAGAAGTGCAGGTTGCAAAGTCATAGGTGAGTTCATCACCGTTACTTAGAGAATGGTAGATTTTTTTTTTTTCTTTTTCTCTTGGATCTGATTCTGCAGTTAACATGCCTTTTGGTGAGAGGCCAGTGTAGGATTCTAATTGAAGAAAACTGGCCCAGTCTTAACCTATACAAGATGGAACATGTTAGGTCTATATACTTGGAATTTTCTAGCAACCCTGTCGAGGTTAATTGTTGCTCAGTTTCAAAAACAAAAGAAAACAGGTGAAAGAATTCAGCATCAGGAGCAGTTTGTTACCCATCCAATAGCCATTATTTGGTGGACTCCACCAATGACAGTAAGCAGTCTTATTGTTAATATGGTTTACCTGGTCATACAGCTATAATGATAATGTAAATATCACTATACATTCCTAAGGCAAAACAAGAAAACTCAAAACATTTAAAAAAATCAAATATATAATTGCCATTGCTTTGCTTCTAAAAGTTGGTCAAATATTAGGAAGAAAAATGTATACTGTAATTAGAACTACATGCATTTAATGCATTTTTATTCTCATCCTTTCATGTATATATGTAAGTATATATATATACATATACTTTATATGTAAGCATATATATACTTTATATAAATTACCCAGTCTCAGGGAAGTTCTTTAGAGCAGTGTGAAAAGGGACTAATACAATAGATGATGCCTAAAGCTGAAAAGTCACGAAGCAGCTATATAAGCATATTATACAAATATACTTTATATGTAAGTGTATTTATACTTTCATATATATAAAAGAAAGGATGAGAATAAATGCTATTTTATAGTATTTATATAATATACTATTATATATAGTATTTATACTATTATATATAAATTATATATAGTATTTATACTATTATATATAAATTATATATATATATATATATAAATAAAATAGTAGAGTTGGGGGTCTTGCTATTTTGCTCAGCTGGTCTCCAACTCCTGGGCTCAAGCTTTCCTCCCACCAAAGTGCTGGGATTACAGGCATGAGCTACCGCACCTGGCCCTTTTATTCTATAATAGAAAGGAGCTCTCATTTTTTTGAGCATCAGTGTGTGCCAGAAATTATATATATACTCTACACACATACTTTATATGTAAGTATATTTATGGTATTGTATATAAATGTGGAATATATGTACATTAATTTTCCTAGCAGTCCAATGAACTATTTTATACATGAAGTGTTGAGACTCAAATTCTTATCTTTTCTCTCAATAATTTCACCTGCTCATATAAATGGTGTGTGAAAATCCTGGCTTTGAAGGAAGATCTGTTGTTCTTTGAATGGACAATAAATACTCTTTTGGCAACAAGCTCCTTAGGAAGCTACTTCCCTTTTCTTCATAATTTCATTTCTGTTTTTTCTTCTACTTTTCTGGACATTCTGCTTGGCTCAACCTCGGAAGTCATTATTTCTTACTTACCATCTATAAACTCATTCATTACTCTAAATTTGTTACTCCAGTCCTGACCTCTCTTTGAGCCTGTTAAAGAAAACCAGAGCTGCACAGTAGTTAAAGCGATAAAAAACAGATTTTATTCAGGAACTATTGCAATAGAGGGAAAGAGGGCTCAGCATATAACTGGGCTTACTTCTGAATACAGCATGGACAAGTGGGGATTTATAGCCACAGAAGCAGGGTTGGGAGTCAGTGAATGGAAAATTACTAAGAGGAAATCTCAGAGGAAAAAGGGGATTCTGGTTAAACAGACCTAACAGAATTCTTGCTAAAGGCAAGCCAGGGTGGTGAGATACATCACCTGGGGATGGGAATCGGGGGAATGAGGAATTTGATCAGATGTATAATAGGTTGGAGGGTTCTCACTAAACTGATAAGCAGGATTTTGCTAACATTGGGCTATTCACGTCTGGCATTCTTGGGGCCTAGTTGAGAAATGGGCTTAGAAGAGCCTGAATAAATTCTGGTCTAGGAAGGCTGGGAGTGCTGGCTCACACCTGTAATCCTAGCACTTTGGGAAGCCGAGGCAGGTGGATCACAAGGTCAGGAGTTCAAGACCAGCCTGGCCAACATGGTGAAACCCTGTCTCTACAAAAAGTACAAAAATTAGCCAGGTGTGGTGGCACGTGCCTGTAGTCCCAGCTACTCGTGAGTCTGAGGCAGGAGAATTGCTTGAACCTGGGAGGTGGAGGTTGCAGTGAGCCAAGAGCGTGCCAGTGCACTCCAGCTTGGGCAACAGTGTGAGACTCCATCTCAAAAACAAAAGAAAAAAAAATCTGGTCTAGGAGAGTGTCTCTGTCAAGCCCCGGAAACTTTCACTCTTTCCATATCTCTATTTGCTTATTTCCCAGGCATAGCAAACTGAAATCATTACATTCCTGTACAAATATGTATTTTCTTCCTCCAACCTTCCCTGCTGGCTTTGACTCAGTTAGTGATTAATATCAGAAACCTGGGAGTCATAATTCCTTCTCTGTCTCTGCCTCACCTTCAAGTATTAAGCTGTATTTAGTTTAATAACAGATCTTTCTACTTTATTGCATTTCACCCCAACCTCACCGTTTTAGTCTCTGCCACTTGGATGACTATACTTGCTCCCTAATCTAGTGTTCCCTCAAATCCAGGCTCCAGACAACTTGTACCTTTGGATTATAATATGATAATTTTACTTTTCTTTTCCCACTTTGTTCCTCCTCCTCTTTCCCCTTTCCTCTCTTCTTTCCTCCTCTATTTTTCTAGTCTCCGCATCCCTTATTCCCTCCTACTTTTCTTCTTCTCAATTCACTTCCTCACCCCTCTTCCCTCATCTCCTTCTTACGTCTCCCTCCTCCAGGTACCTGGCAGATAGAATCATAAAGACTTGTGTGTTTCAGTAATCTGTGATGTGGTGCTTATTACTGATTTAGACTGAGCATATTTAAAGACGGTGTACTGATAACCATGTGAAATTCCAAGAAAATTCTGTTTTTCAGAATGACCTCAGTGTTCCTGTCTGCTACCATTTTAAATAATTAATCTTATTGTTTTTGGTTTTTTTTTTGTGAAGTGTACTATGTTATCATGTTATTTTAACTTGATTTGTCAGCTTTATTTTAAGATGGTAACCAATTACTAAAGTTCTGAACTTTACAGTTCTGATGAAAGTACACATATGTTTGCGCTTCACCAATGCTATACAAATTCAAATTCCTTTTACAATAAATCTTAGTTTTTCTTCTCAATTAGTCATTAAGTTTCCTGATTATTCTTTAACTGATACTGTATTAATGTACTGGCTATGTTAATTAGAGCCATGAAGATGCAGGGGTCCATCGGTGAATGAATTAGACTTTTTCCCTTAACCCTTTATATGCCTCTATCCTCAGTTGTTCTGCTCAGGATATAGTAGAGGCTGCATAGTACAGATTGTACTACCATTTTTGCACAAGTTTAGTTTGAAGATACTTTTCGTTATGTATGAAGATGCACTTTTATTCTTTGGAAGCTCACCACTGTGTGGGAGAAATGAGATAGGTGTTTGGTAGAGTACAAGTATACAGGGCCAGAAATAATTAGGTATATTTTATGGGCACTGGTGGCCAGTTTCCTATATAGGAGGGCTTATGGGTGGCCATATAGTTGTAGGTGGGAGGGCCATGGACTTGTTTTGAAGCTGCATTTGATAACATGCAAATGTTTACCTATTTGAAAAATAGTTTACTTGAGGTGGGTATGGGGTCTAGGAGGAGGTTAGATGTTGGACTTAGATCCCTAGTCAATGCTGATCCCACCACCATTGAAGGAAAAGAAGGTGGACAGAGATAAAATGATGAAAGAGGGAGCTGCAAAAGGAGGTAGGCAATGAATTGAAAAATGAGGTGACTGTGGCCCCAAGGCTAGAAGAATTTAACCTGACAGCGTGCAGGGAATTCAGGGAGGAAAGTCTACCTGCTTTACTCCATTCCAGAACTATCTTTTGCATATTTAAACTTTAAACAAATGTACAACTCTATTCAGAATTTTGTAAAGAACATTATGAAGTATTTTGAAGACATGTCTAGCAGTATTCATCTTTACTTGTCTTTTCTGATATTTATTCAAATATGGAGTTAACACTTGAGATCTGACTTTTGATGACTCCTAGATCGGTCTGAGTTTGGAAGTCAGAGATCTCTGGAGATTTAGTTTTGATTGTTATTTACATGTTGGGCTTATAGCTACTGAGTGTTGGTGTCCACTGTGGTCTCTTCTGAACCATTTTTCTAGGCTTTCTTTTCTGATGGCTTCTCTTTAGAATGATAGTACAGACCATTTGTGCTTTCATAATCTTTTGTTATTACTGCAATAGTGACCAAAACCAGCTGTCTAGCTCTCTTTCATGTGTAAACCATTCTGTATATATCGTCTTAAATTACTAATCTTTTGGTTGACTCTTAGAAGTGAATCCATCTTGTGAATCCTTGTTTGCGGACTGTGTTATACTTTTGTTAGTTTCATGGAAGATAGATCTGACTCCCAAGCTTATGTGTATTAGCTTTTTTCTACACTATCTAGAGGAGAGACTAGCTGGTCAAGAATGAAAGGCCTTAATGTAAGGCCTAGGGGAGAGGGGACTTGAGGGTGGGCCCTGGTCCTTGACATGAAAACCAATGCTGTTTGCCAATTGTTTTAATTTTCTAATCTTTGTTTTTTTTTTGATTAATAAAAGAGCACTTCAAAGACCTTTAGACAAGGCTAAACTATCTCTTTGTTGCTTACTTTTGCCCAGTAGAATGTTCTCCCCACAACTGCCTAAAGTTTCCATTTCACTTCATGTTTTTTCAAATAGCACCGTTTACAGACTAATTTGGGTGACTGAGTCTCCTTAGAAAACATGGAATGCTTTTCAGAGGTTTAAGTGGCTACCCAAAATTCATAGTGTTGGTAAGATATGAACCATTTACAGAAAAGGAAATATAAACCTTTAAGCAGATTTTTAAAATGAGGCTTAATAATCCTTATAACAAAGAAATGCAAATTAAAATCATAAGAATTGTCATTTTTTTCACCTCTAAGATTGTCAAATATTCAGAAATTTGATGTGGCTCTATATTAGCATAGATTTTGGAAACAGCAATTCTTATATGCTGTTGTTTGGTGTGTAAGTTGGAACACACAGTGTAGGGGGTAATTTAGCAGCATCCATCAAATACAGATGGCTGTATCTAACAACACCTTCCCTGGGAATTTATTCAAAATGTCTACGTACAAGATATTCACCGTGGTATTTTTTTTTTAATAGCAAAAGTTGAAAAGCCACTAAACGTCCATCAGCATGGAACTACTTAAATCAATTGTAGTCCATTTATACAGTTGAATACTCTCCAGCTGTTAAAAAAATTAAAATAATGAGGCAGTTCTTTCTTTATATACTGATATGGAAAGGTCAAGGCATTTTATTAAAGATAAAAAATAAAGGTGTCTGACAGCACATATAGTGTACTACCTTCTATTAAGGAGAGAAATGACATATATTTCTTCTTGATTGTATATATACACACACGCATACAGATATACATAGAAATTAAGGATGGATTCACAAGATACTAATGGCAGCAGTTACTTGCAGAATGGGAAAATTTCACTATATTGCATTTAGTATGTTAAAACAAGTTTTTGAAACATACAAATATATTTTAAAAATTAGATTTAAAAATCATACTTTAGCATGAGTTAATTGCATTGTTTCCTTTCTAACACTCATCTGAAATCGGGGGAAAGAGTTTTGATTGAGAAAGAAAGAGGATCTAAGCAATTGCATAGCATTGAATCCTTAGCTGAGGCAAGCTCTCATCCATAACCTACCATGAAGACAGTTTGGAACCCTTGAGAGATAAGAAATTAAGTAGCAGGAGCTTTGCAAGAAAATGGAGGTGAAAGGATGCCAAAGGCTAATTTATACCACAGTTGTCTCTGGGTAAATATGGGGATTTGTTCCAGAACCCCCTTGCCCATACCAAAATCCATGTATACTCAAGTCCTACAGTTGGCCCCATGAAATCCACATGTATGAACAGTTGGCCCTCTGGATATGCAGGTTTTGAGTCTCACAAATACTGTATTTTCTCTCTGGTTTGGTTGAAAAACAAATCTACATATTTGGACCTGTGCAGTTCCAGCTCTGTTGTTCAAGGCTCAGTGGTACTTTGAATATTTTCTACAGGCAGCTAACTCAAAGAAAAGGAAAAGATAGGGTGGGATATTCTTCTTTCTTGTCTACTCTTCTGCTTCTAGTATGAGTCAGAATGTAAATCACAATCAGAATGTGAATGTAAAGTAGTAGCTTGGAATTAGCACATGGTTGAGGTCCATTACAGACCAAATATATTTAATTATTTACTCTGGGAACCATTCAGATGTTTAGAAGTCTATCTATTTGCAACTGCATTTTCACTTTCAGCAGATGAATTCTCAAACTTTTGGAAGACTAATTAGGGGCAGCATATAATTATCCTCAGGGTCACAGATTGTCATTCATTGTAATCGGTAGGCTTTACTCCTTGGTGTTTGGACTGTTTTTGTGATACTTTCTCTTTACCCCAAAGCATAGGTTTTTGAATTATTAAACCATAGCAGAAATCATGAATAAAGCATTTTGAAGGAGATTCTATTATCTGAAACCTACTGTAATTTTTTCATGCTTGAATTAGTTCTATGTACTAAGGATTATTGTTTCAAATTACATTAGTGGGAATAGTTTTCCATTTTTCTTAATGAATTATTTTATTAAAAAATATATTGGCCAGACTCTGTTCTTGACTGGGTACTCAATGGTGAATCAAAGTTTCTGCACTCATTGTATTATTTGTAGTCTTTTTGGATACAGGTGTTATCTACCGTGCTCATTCATAGCCCCCCACCCCACCACTTCAGTAATTTCATTGTAAAATATGTGAAGCAGGAAGGGGAAGGGGAAATGCATAACTGTTCAATCAATTTTGCTCCTAAATGTTTGATTCCCATCTAATAAAGAACTTATGACCATTTAGTGGAATCCTGATCTTCTAAGAAATTTTTCCGTTTTTTTAAAAACAATTCTTTGATCACTCCAAAGTACTTTCTAAGCAAATCTCAGTGTTTCCCTGGTATTATTCCACTGTTTAATGGAAAGAACGTTAAGTTTGGAGTTCTAATTGGAATACTGATCCATCACTGAATAATTATATGGTCATTTTTTTTTTCTCTAAACTTCTGTTTCAATGGGAAAGCAAAACTTCTTCCCAGAGTTGATGCAACTATTGGAAGTATTTTTTGTGTACCAGGAGTACTAGGAGCTCTCTGTAAATGCTGCCCATTATTTGGTGATTAATTCAGAAGCAGCTGATCAGTAAGAGCTTAAGTAGTGGTACTGTATTCATCAGTGTGTTCAGGTTTCAGTCTTGCAGCCTGAACTCCTTTGTCTTTAGGCTTTTCTCAGCCTAACTTGGCACCTGGGGCAGCCCTAGTTCACTGTTTGTATCTTTTTGTAAGTTGATACTCCATTGCATCTGAGGTGCACAACAGCTCTTTGATTCAATCCCCAAATCAAAAGAGGTAAGATGAAGGCAGATGAAGAGAGCTAGAAGTAGTTAGTTGGACAGAAGTAGAGAGATGAATGCTGACTGGCTCTTCTCCATTTCCTGCCTGTGGCAAGCAGCCAGCTGTTTCCTTAATTCAAAATTCTGTGTGCCCTGGCAGTGATAGAGTAGATTCTTCTTACAGAATTCCCTGCTGGCGATTGCCATTTCAAAGAAGAAACTTACAGTAGAATTATTATGGTTTAGAGTGTTACTGTGTGTATAAGAGTAGGTAGAATGAAGAGCCAAGGGTTGGCATCCATTCAAAAGTGGCACGCAGAATTTTCATTTATTCCTTTACTCCTTAGCAGAGGTAGAGATGTCAGTGGAGGTCACCTACAGGCAAGACTCTCTTTGAGAAACGTCTGTGATGTTAGGTGGTTTGACTGAGCGAATCAGCCCCAATGTATGCACAGCCGACCCTTGAACAACACGGGCTTGAACTGCGTGGGGCCGTTTATATACCCGGATATTTTTTCATCCAAATGGTGATTGAAATTACAGTATCCCGGGATGGGAAACCCGTATATGGGGAGAAGCAACTTTTCGGATGTTCAGGTTCTTCAGGGCTGACTGTGGGACTTTAGTATGCACGGATTTGGGTATAAGCTGGGATCTTGAAACTGATCTCTCCCGCCTATGCGAGGGATGACTGTGTCCTGTTAACCCTGCCCTTCTGGGAATCGCGACAGCTTCTGGCCGAAGGTGGGAGCTGTTTCAATTCCACATATTCACACTCCTCATAGCCCATTTGCTATGCTATACCTCGGTACACCCCCTCATCAGCCCTGCCTATACTGCTATTTTGGGTCTGCCTTCATTATTTCTCTGCCTGCTACTCATTTAGTTTTGTCTCATTCTATTCTTTCTAGCAAGAACATCTTTATTCTACACTCTCCTCCTGCCTTGGGTCAGCTTAATTACCGCCTAAATAATCGCTAAGGCTTTGGAGTCGACCTGTTTGTTTAAAAATGTATTTAATTATGTAATTTATTTTTATTTATTGTGGTAATGTCACCGGAAAAGGGTTCTTGTCCCAGACCCCAAGAGTGGGTTCTTGGATCTCTCATGGAAAGGAATTCAGGGCGAGTGGCAGAGTATAGTATAGTGAAGGTAACATAGTTTATTAGATACTACTTAGTTGCAGAGTAGGGTGTCCTCAGAATGCAAGAGGAGGCACACCGCCATTTCAAATACAATGCTTGCTTATATAAATAGGTTTTGATGTACTCTTTTATGATGGTTTGTGATTAGCTTGTGGCAGGCTATTAATATTGTTACTTTCTTATATTACGCTTATCTTTAAAGCAAAACCTATTCTCAAACTAAGAATGGTTTTTGTTCTTAAAGTACTAGGGCATTTCCATAAGTTCTGGGTCTTATACAGTTAGTTAACACTATTAACTTAGTCCCTCAACCATGAATATCTTGTGACCAAGAGTGCTGAACCCCAGGGAAAGTAACCCAGCAGATTTGACTTTTTCCCACCTTCATTCAAGATGGAGTGACTCTGGTTAGGATGCCTCTGATGGTAGGAATACTTAACCATCATAAATTAAAAACACAAGATTTCCCTCTTAAACAATTTCTAAGTGCACAATACAGTATCGCTAACTATAGGTGTAACGTTGTACAGCAGATCTCTGGGCCTTATTCATCCTGCGTAACTGAGGCTTTATATCCATTGAACAGCAATTCTTGTTTCCCCTTCTCTTCATACCCTGGCAGCCACCATTCTATTTTCTGTTCCTATGAGTTTGACTAATTTAGATAACTCAAAGCAAAATCTTATCAGTCACAGAAGGACAAATACTGCCTAGGTTTTAATCCCTTTCCTATCCGGTGATCTTGGCAAGTTACCTGGTACTCTGTGCCTTTGTTTCCTATAAAATGGGAGGCTAAAATAAAAAATGCATGTGAAGTTCTCAGCATATCATTTTATAAAAAAAAAAATCACTCAACAGTGATTGTTAGCACTTATTATTTAGCGCCACTGCACCTTTTTATTTAAGTCCCATAAATAATCTCAATTGATGAAATTAGTGTCAGTATATACTGAAAGCATGGAAAAGAAAAGTCGTTTTAGAGAAAGCAGCTTTACACCAATTTCTAAAGTAAGCGACAATGTCAAAAATTGTCTTTAGAAACTATATGTGTCTCTGAATATTCCTCCTCCGCAAAACTTTCAAATCTGATTTTCTTTAAGCTCCATTAGGTGAAATATATTGTAAAAGTTTCCTTCAGTTGGATTATTTTACTTGTTAGTATAGTTTTAATTGCTATTATGGTTAATTTATTATTTTCCAATCTTAATACAAATATTTAAAACTGTAATTTAAAATGAAATTTAAACTATCTACCAGTCTTTTGGGGACTATCTTGAGATTTTAAAACAGTGCTTTGGAAAAATGTTGGTCGAGACCCAAAGAGCAACAAATTATCTTTTTGGATTGAAAAAAGGGATTGATTTTTTTCATATCTTTTGTTGCTTTACCTGGGACTCTCACAAAGTGTTAAGAGGTAAAATTGTTGCTATATATATATATATATATTTTTTTTTTCCTCTTTCTCATTTTGGCCAGTTGACTGAATAATTTGGTCAATTAGTTGACTTATTTAATTAAACTACATCCTGTTATAATGCCAAAATGTTTATTTCTAGTATGGTTTATTTGAGAACTCATTTTTTATTAGAACACTTTTGATGACTAGAAAGCACACAACAACTTACTTTCATTGTAATTTTTGAGTTGGGGCTTTTCTGAAATTTTTTGTCTAGCTTCACCCAGGGCCAAGCTGTTACAGTCATGCCTTGCTCTCCTGCCCTTTATTCATCATCTCTTTGTGATTCGTCCCTTAAGAGAAGTCTCTAACAGTTCTTTGGGTTAGCATTTCTCTTTCAAGTAACAGATAACGAACTGCTTTAAGACCATACACCAGAAAGATAGAAAACTATCATTTCCTTCTCCTTTCATCAGCTGACCCACATTGTTCTGTGCGACTCTTGGTCTTTGCCCAGCCTCTTCCTCGGTGCTGTAGTAAATTCAAATTTAAACCACTGGCTAGTTATGTTGAGATGAATTCCATATCAAGAAAAAAGTTTTTTTTTTAAATTAAAAAAGTAATTCCACATTATTTATGTCATCCTCAAAAGACCAACTAGTTTAGGGGAAGCTGTTTAATTACACATTCATTTGACTTACAATTTTAGACCCTGTCAGGATGTCCATTGCAAACTAAGATTTTGAAAATTATAAAGTTTGAAATTGTTTTAAAAAATTGTAGAACCTATTTGGGAGCATATCCAACATAGCATTTTCTTGATTTTTGTTATAAAGAGAGCACACTGGGGAGGCTCACATGTGAGGAATATCTAAGCCAGCCTGCCTGCCTGCCTGCCTGCCTGCCTGCCTGCCTGCCTGCCTTCCTGCCTGCCTTCCTGCCTTCCTTCCTTCCTTCCTTCCTTCCTTCCTTCCTTCCTTCCTTCCTTCCTTCCTTCCTTCCTGCCTTCCTGCCTTCCTGTCTTACTTCCTTCTTGCCTTCCTTTCTATGCCTGCCTGCCTGCCTGCCTGCCTGCCTGCCTGCCTGCAACCTTGACCTCCTAGGCTCAAGTGATCCTCCTACCTCAGCCTCCTGAGTGGTGGGGACTACACGTGTGTACCACCATGCTCAACTTTTTTTTTTCTTATTTTTTTGTAGAGACAGATTCTTGCTATTTTGCCAAGGCTGGTGTTGAACTCCTGGCCTCAAGTGATCCTCCCACCTTGGCCTTTCAAAGTGCTGGCATAAGCCACTGTACCCAGCTAAATTCCTTTCCTGAAGTGAAATAGCTCTATTTATTCAAGTTTATTCTGGAATGGACCAGCATAAAAAAGATTCCAGTACTTTAATTTTGATGCTTAGTTTTTTTTAACTAATTATATTTATTGAGTTCTTTGAGTGCCGGACACACTCCACATTTGTGCTCTCATTTAACACTTCAGCAGTAATATATGAGGTGAATTCTATGACTGAGTAAGTAAACTGAAATTTCAGGAGGGTAAGCAGTTTGTTCCAAGTCATATGGCTATTTAGTGTTGGGATCTGCTCTGCCATTGTTCACAGCTATATTCAATTGCCCCGGGTGTTGTGTATCTTTCCAAAAACGTTGAAAGGGAGGTTCAGAAGTATTCAGTTATTTGTATTATTAGTCGTTTTGAAACTGAGTAGAAAGACTCATTTAGGAAAGTTCCATATGCCTTCTTGTCTGTCTATGGCTGGTTTGCTCAGGAGAAAAGTCCACAATTATACAATTGTACTCAGAGATCATGTTATTTGTATATCTACCTGCCTCATCGGAGAGGTTGTGAATCGTCCCAGAGACAAGATAATCTTTTTGTTTGCATTCACCTGGGCTATTTTGGAGGCTAGTTTGTCATCTTCCTGCAGGAGTAATTTTATCCATGTAGTTCCTAGACTGTTGTCTAAATGGAATCAAGATGGGTTTGTCAGCCACCGTTGCCTAATGGTGATTTTAGGATAAATTATCTTATCTCGTATTAGCCTAAGAAATCTCTGACTTGGGATTTGGGGTGATTTAATACAAAATCATTCAAAGATTTCTTTCTGTCTTTTCTTTATGGCTTTTGGACTGTGTACTTATGACTTTCTCTGCTGTGCTCAAGTATCTTCTTAGTATCTGTAAGTAAAAGTTACTTATAAATGTCTGTAAAAAAAAAAAAAAAACAGTGTTAGAGGCTGGGCATGGTAGCTCACCCCTGTAATCCCAGCACCTTGGGAGGCCGAGGCAGGAGGATTGTTTGAGCTCAGGGATTCAAGACCAGCCTGGGCAACATGGCGAAACCCTGTCTCTATCAAAAATACAAAAAATTAACCTGGTGTGATGGTGTGCACCTGTGATCCCAGCTACTTGGGTGGCTGAGGTGGGAGTATCACTTGAGCCTGGGAGGCAGAGGTTGCAATGAGCTGAAATCTGAGATTGAGCCACTGCAGTATAGCCTTGGAGACAGAGCAAAACCCTGCCTCAAAAACAAACAAACAAACAAACAAAATACAAAAAAAAAACTATTAGAAATGCCCTGGAATAAAAAGAATGAAATCCGGTCATTTGCAACAGCAGGGATGGACGTGGAGTTCACTATGGTAAGTGAAATATGCCAGGCACAGAAAGACAATATCACATGTTCTCATTCACATGTGGGAGTTTCAAAAGTTGATCTCATGGAAGTAGAGAGTAGAATGATAATTACCAGAGGCTGGGAAGGGTGTGTGTGGGTTGCGGGGTGGAAAGCGGGGATGAAGAGGGGTTGGTTGATGGATACAAACATACAGTTAGATAGAAGGAATACGTTCTCGTGTTTGATAGCACAGTAGGGTGACTATAGTTAACAATATGTTGTATATTTCAAAATAGGTAGAAGAATTGAAATCTTCGTAGCACAAATAAATGATAAATATTTGAGTAAATATCCTAAATACTTTGATTTGATCAATACATATTGTATACATGAATCTAAATATCACATGTACCACATAACTATGTACAAACCTTATGTATTGATACAAATAGTTAAAGGGAATTGAATAATAAAGAATAAAGGATAAAATATTTAAACTAATATTAAAATCAGGGTAAAATAAACTATAGCTGCAAAATCATAAGACAGTTAAGTGAATATACCTGGATTAAGGAAATAAAATTTAAAATAATGAAAATACCGAATAAAAATTAATAATAAAAATGTAAAAATAAAATTGAATAAACTACATTGAGTTAGGGTGTGTGTGTGTGTGTGTGTGTGTGTGTTTGTGAACACAACATACCTGTATGGTAGGGGTAACATTGGTTTAGATTCACTTTGTACTTCATACCTGTGTTCAAAAGACTCAGCTGAGCCCTTTGTGAGGATATTTTGACTTTGAAAATCTGGAATTGATGACTCACTTAAAATAGTTTTATCTTGGGACTGAAACAGGGACATAGGCATATTTTTGTATGATTCACATCAGAGCTGATAATCTTAATGGTTTGTAAAGGGCCTAAATGATTCTACAGTTTTATATAAAGCATGTTAAACTATCAAGGCTCATTATTACATAACTATAAATGGACAGAGTTTTATAATAAGAAAAATGTACATTTGTTTAGCCATTGTCTCCTAGGAACTTCTCTCTATTATTACACTATTGCATTTGCAAAGGCACCAAAGGTGCAGTTTGGTTTATATACTGCAGTAGTAATTCCTAAAAGATTTAATTGTATCAGGTTTTTTAACTTAAAAATGGAATCCTATTTAAAGTATATCCAAATATTCGTACAATAAGAAGTTATCACAGTCTACCTATTTTGTAAATGAGGTGCAGTGTTTAGTTTTCATTGGGGTTTTTGATTTTCTGTTTTGAGCATTTAAAACAAAATCCTTTGAAAATAGTAGTTGGTGATCACAATGGTTTATGACAATTTTAACAAATTGTATTAGAAGACTCTAAGGAGCTGTATTTTCAACCGTGCTTTTTCTCTTCCTTCCTTCCTTTCTCTTCCCTCACTTTTTTTCTTCCTCTTCCTTCCTTCCTTCCTTCCTTTTTGCATTGGGGTAAGAACATAAATAATATTACATCTTTCCACTATGTCTAAAAAAGTTGGAGGTGGAGAACAGTATATTTTCCATGAAAATGTCAGCCTGCCACATAGCTCTGCTTAGTAGGCAAACCGTTATTCATTTGGATTCTCTCTTGGCTTTACATTTGGAAACAGTTTTAGTGTTAGGTACTTATGATTGAAAAGGAGATCTCATGTTGAGCTTTTATTGCGTTGGATGCGCTTAAAGGAGGTTTTGTAAAAGACCATTGCTTCATTAAGAAAGGAAGAAAGAAAAACAAACAATTACATCCAGGGAAATGCTAGGATTTTTGATAGTTTAACATGACCATGTCTTGAGCATTTTCAGTTCATAATGAGGCTTGCCCTAACTAAAATGGCATTTCATTTCGGTTGATGTACTCTTGACATTATTGGTGACATCTGCTAAATTCTAAACCATATTTTTTTTTAAATTGATTTCATTCCTACATCATCAGCTATGACCACCAGTTGAGCTGGAGAGATTGGAATCTGGTGTTTTATTTATTAAAAAAGACATTTTCAGACTGCTTAGCTCACAAAGATATTTTGTATTCTTTTTCAAAATATATTTTATTTATCATGGATGCTTGTGTTTTAAGGCTGCATATTTATTTAAAATTTATGAAGAACCCTGGAAAACATTCCCAACACAATACAAAGTCCACACATTTGCACAATAATTAAGAATATTTGGCCGAGCACGATGGCTCATGCTTGTAATTCCAGCACTTTAGGAAGCCGAGGTGGGCGGATCACTTGAGGTCTGGAGTTAGAGACCAGACTGGCCAACATGGTGAAACCCGTCTCTACTAAAAATACAAAAATTAGCCGGGCATGGTGGTGGGTGCCTGTAATCCCAGCTACTCGGAAGGCTGAGGCAGGACAACTGCCTGAACTTGAGAGGTAGAGGTTGCAGTGAGCCGAGATCACACCATTGCACTCCAGCCTGGGTGACGCAGCAAGACTCCATCTCAAAAAAAAAAAAAAAAGAAAAAAATTAAAAATCACACGTTGACTAATAAAGATTTCTTTAAATGTTTGTGTGTGGGATGTGCTTGTTCTTTTTGGAAGACACTAGGTATGTTCACGTCTCCAGGTTTCTCCCCGGGGGTGTGTGGTGCCAGTTCAGAATCTAGCACACAGTAGACTTCCTAATCCAAATTTTCCTGAATTAATGTCTAATTTTTCCTAATGTGGCTTGTTTTTTGCTATGACCAATTCCTGCTTATATTTCAACGTCAAACCTTAAAGTCACCCTTTTGTGACTTTTCTTGTTTATTATTTTTTAAAGCAGAATTAAATTTTTGTATGTGTGTTTTATACACTCTCATGCAAGTGCATAAGCTGCTTCACTAGTTATCATGTCCTCTCTGTCTTTTCTGCTATTATTAAAGGTAGGTAATATATTTTAGTCTCATTGCATCATTAGTACTTAGTATACTCTCTGATATAGAATGAACACTTGATAAATTCTTGTTCAATCAAGTAAAGTCAAAGACTTCAAAAGATGACTTGGGAGGACAACTAGCATATATCGATTTTGTAAAATATGTTAATATCTTCATTAGTTACTTTAGAATTCAATGCCCATATAATCTTTTAAATAATCTTGGGAGAAAGGAGACATTATTTCTATTTACAGTCGAGGAAACTACGGAGTTAAAAGTACAGAATTAAACTTTCTCCCTATCTGTCTCCTGTCAAAGCTGTATTAAGCTGCTTCCTGAGAGTTTGAATTTCCATGGTTTTAGAGCCGTTTCTTTCTTAACTCATTGCTAAGTGACTTGGTGGAGTACAATTTTCAAGACTAAGTTTCTTCCCTTAAATTCCTCATATTGTATAAACATACTCATTCAATACTCATCCATCAAGGTGATTCTATTATTCCCACAGGGAACCTTTTCATCATCACAATTCCATGTAAAATCTCTTACAAACTACTGAAATTTTCATTCTGATCTTTTATAAATAAAATTTCATACCTAATAAGTGAATTCAAAAATGATAAAATGCCTATAGTTTAAAATTAACTTTATATTGCATTGATGATTATACAAATATATCTCATTATGGTTGATGTTCTCTGTCTATTTGATCTTTTTTGTAAGTCTCTCAAGGTAGAAATTATCTAATTAATAATGCACACCTCACTGAATTGAGTAAGTTTACATTCTGAGTCACTAAGGCAAACTTCTAGAAGAGCCTCTAGGATTTTCTTTTTTAAACAGAAATGCCCCTTTAAAACATTTCTCTGCTCTCATGTCTTGCCACTGGAATGCAATGGAATGCATTGTAAAAAGATATATATTTTATAGATTAGATGTTGGTGAAGTTTTTAGTTGTCAGATTTTACTTTGCTATAACTTTGGAATTGGAACTATTACCTTTGTTTTATTGCAGTCTAATTAGTAGGACGGGATGAGGAAGTATGAATCTTTATTTTTATCAAAAAGCCAAGAAGGTTTTTGTATTGGCCATTAGCTCAGTTGCTTGGAATAATGTATTAGTCACCTGGAGGTCATAGGCTTATCACCTGGTGGATGATAGCTTTAGTCCTTTCTGGAGCACATCTTTGACATAGCCCCTGTCAGCTCTGTCACCAGGGAGGCAGGGCAAGGCTATAATGGTGGAAGTACACATTAATTATCTACTTTGAAAAAGCAACTTGAAGTTTAGACTTCGTGACCATAGAATTCTAAGAATTTCGAGTTGGAAGGTACCTTACGGTCATGTGTTCCTGTCCCTCCTTTTAAGGATGATGAAATTGACACACACATAAGCTAAGTGACTTCCCCTAGTTTACTAGTAGCATCACTTGGATTTAAGGCCTTACATTTTCTTAACAAATGTGCAGATACTTCTTGATTTATGAAGGGATTACATCCCGATAAACCTATCATAAATGAAAAAATATTCTAAGTAGAAATACTTTTAATACACCTAACCTAATGAAAATTACAACCTAGCTTATTCCACCTTAAATATGTTCAGAACATTTACATTAGCCTACAGTTGGGCAAAGTCATCTGACACAAGGCCTATTTATAATAAAGTGTTGAATATCTCATGCAATGTATTGAATACTGTATTGAAAGTGAAAAACAGGATGGCTGTATGGGTACTCTAAGGACAGTTAATACTGAATGTATATGACCTTTGCACCATTGTTAAGTAGAAAAATTGCAAGTCAATCCATCATAGGTTGGGGACCCCATCGGTACTTTAGTCAGGATAGGTCATTGAAATTCATTCTGAGTATTCATTTGTTTGTAGGTTAGTTAACTTGTTGATGTAATTTGTACTTGCTGTTAGTTTGTCTGGAATGACTATTTACCACAGATCTTCACATTGACATATTTCTTCCAGTCATCCTAGTTCCTCCTCAGGGAGGTATCCCCTCTAGCACTCTGTATGACGTTCCTAGATCTAACTGCCATTGCTTGTGGAACGTAGACTCCATGAACATCTCGTTGTCTTTACTGATCTCAGTATGCTTAGAACAGTGTCTACATTTAATATATATTTACTGAACAGTTGAAAGAATAGATAACGATAGGCTTTAGACCTTAGTAGTCTACTAATGATGTGCATCTTTAGATTGCTATAATTGCTTTCTCCTAAGCTGGAGTACGATGCTTAGCGATGGAAGTCCTACTATAATTCTGAGCAGCTAATTCTTCAGTTGAAGAATGGACTCGGTCTTATCGCTGAGTGAGTAACTCCATTGAATTCTTAGGAAGCAGATTTGTCATTTCACAGTGTCCACAGATTCTCATATGATTTCTCATTTCACTGTACATGGAAAGGATGATGCCAAACTTTTTTTTTCTTTTTTTTCGAGACGGAGTCTCTCTCTGTCACCAGGCTGGAGTGCAGTGGCGTGATCTCGGCTCACTGCAATCTCCGCCTCCCGGGTTCAAGTGATTCCCCTGCCTCAGCCTCCCAAGTAGCTGGGACCACAGGCACCCACCACCATGCCCGGCTAATTTTTTGTGTTTTTTAGTAGAGACGAGGTTTTACCCTGTTGGCCAGGATGCTCTCGATCTCCTGACCTCATGATCTGCCCGCCTCAGCCTCCCATAGTGCTGGGATTGCAGGCGTGAGCCACCGCACCTGGCCCAAACATTTTGTTTTATATTGTCTTGCTAGCTGATGGTCGTGGTTGATCCTGGCTGTGTGGAGGCTATGTGGAGGGAGGGCTTCAGGAGAAGGGACTACTTCTGGTGTGGCAGTCATCCAGGAATTGAAGACGATATCTAGCTTTACTTTGGGGAATACAGAAGTAATAGATTCATTAAATGTATTTAATGAATGGATTAATTGAATCATAAAAAAGTAAAAATCATGTTCATATGTTACATTGTCTTTCTCCAGGAGGACATACTTCATTTGTCTGGGAAGGAGCACAGACATTATTGCTTTCTGATATTGTGGCATATCTTCTGATTGTCAGCAATGGCACAAAGAAGTGTGCTTATTGATAGGGTTGATAGGAGTGGCTCTTCAGCCATGAATGTAACTGCACAGTAGTTCCTGTGTACCTAAATAGAAGGCAGGCAAGGGAGTGGTGTGGCTTAGAGTTTGGGCTCTGGAGTCAGACTGCCTGGATTGAAATCTTGGAACTGTCATTACTGGCTGTGTGAACTTGGCTAAATTACATAACACCTCTTAAAGTATTCTTATTTGTGGAGTCAATAATAGTGCTTTCTTTAAAGAATTGTGAGGGTTAAGAGAGAGAATGCACACAAAGCACATAAGCACTCTCTGGCGCATAGAGTGGCACTGAGTGTTAGCTATTACTATTATTAATGAATCAATGCTAGCTCCACACCTTTAACATGTGCCTGTTCAGTACTAATGGCACGTTAGAACACATGATGGGGAACTACATTAAAGGAAGATCATAATCTTTAAACTTATTCATGTGTTATGTTTTGAAAAGAGAACTTATGCCTCACCAGTTGCAGTGTTGGCTGTGTGGAAGATTCCATTATCAAAAGACTGAAATTGAGGAGTACCAGGAAAAGTCAAGGCCCTGAAATCTTAAGTCTTACCAGTTTATTTAACAAGTGTTCCTTGGTAGTTTTTACTTGCAGTAGGAACATTATATATTTAATTTCAGGCAAATCAAGAAAAAAAACTTTGTAAGTCGACCTTATGTAGAGACAAATGTTTTTGTTTCACTTTTCCCGCCAAAACATGGGTTATAGAAAAGCCATTTTAATTACAAATGACAAGATAAGTGACCAGATGTTCAGTAAAATGTTAGAACTACAAAGTTTTTCTTTGAAAATGTTACATCTTGTTCCTACATGATTTTAAAGATTTTAAATATTTCATTCATTGTTTTCAAAGCAAAGAGCATTTGAAGGAGCTTGGTCTGTGAAGGGGTCCTGAGAGAGTTAGAAGAAGTTATAAGGATTAAGCTATATTTGAATTTTTCTGTTGGGTGCTGAGAAGAATACAATGATAAGGTCCAGATGATGCTTCCAAAGGGATTATAAGGATTGAATAAAATACTGTAAAAATAGCTTTCATAGAAAAGTAGAAAGTGTTAGATAATGAAAGAAAAATAGAAACAGTGTTCTCTGGGAGATATTACTTGCAGCTAGAGACCTCAAGGGGAGCTTTAAAAATGAACTGATATTTGAACTAGGCCTAGAAAAAAAGTGAAGTTGATAAATACTAATACGCATTGGAGGCACATAAGGGAAAGGCATCCTCAACAAAGTGACTTGAATGTGCAAGGACTAGAAATCAGAGGAATAATTATGGGAAGAAATCAGAAGAATAAATATGGGAAGCAGAAAGTCATAGTTTATTTCACCAAGAATACTAGTCCCAAGAGATAACATGCACACAGAGGTTTCTATGGTGAAATTAGTTTTGGAAACATTGGGTACTATATCTGCCTCCTGGAAATTTTTCAAACATTACATATTAAAGATTCTGAGCAGTCTTGTAGTAAAAAAAGTATTTAATGTTATTTATGCTAGTTTATTTAATTATGAAACCCTCTTTTTAAGCAAAATACATAGAAATGCTATGAAACAATTTTTTGCCGATGCTTATTGGGAAATGTAAGCCTGTAAAAGTAGATGGAGTCAAGGTGGTAGAGTGCCTGAACGTCAGAGTGAAGAGTCAGTGGGTGGATCCATGGAAGCTTTCTCATGAAAGCTTCCCAGATAAGTGGATGAGCCATGATCTGGAGACTGTATGTGAGATGGGATGGATCAGAGACCTGGAGGAGATTTGTAGGGATGCATCCAATAGTAAGTCTTTTTTAGCAGACTAAGCCTGAGGTAATGTTGGTCTAACCTGGGATAGTTGTGGTAGTTGTAGAAGAAAAGTTATGAAAGGAAAGGAGTAGATGGAATTGGGGACTATTATTCTAAGTGAAGTAACTCAGGAATGGAAAACAAAACATCATATGTTCTGATTCATATGTGGGAGCTAAGCTATTAGGATGCAAAGGCATAAGAATGATACATTAGCCTTTGGGGACTCGGGGAAAAGGGTGAGGGGTTGTGAGGGATAAAAGACTACACATTGGGGCCAGGCACACCGGCTCACCCCTGTAATCCCAGCACTTTGGGAGGCTGAGGCAGGCGGATCACCAGGTCAGGAGATCGAGACCATCCTGGCTAACATGGTGAAACCCCAACTCTACTAAAAATACAAATAATTAGCTGGGCATGGTGACACATGCCTATAGTCCCAGCTACTCAGGAGGCAGAGACAGGAGAATCACTTGAACCCGGGAGGCGGAGGTTGCAGTGAGCCGAGATCACGCCACTGCACTCCAGCCTGGTAACAGAGCGAGACTCCGTCTCAAAAAAAAAAAAAAAAAGACTACACATTGGGTACAGTGTACACTGCTTAGGTGATGGCTGCACCAAAATCTCAAAAATCACCGCTAAAGAACTTATTCATGTAATCAAACACCACCTATTCCCCAAAAACCTATTGAAATAAAAAAAAAAGAAAAAAAGGAAAGGAAAGGAATATAGCTGGCAGTTCTTTGATGTTAGTTGTATGTGGCTGATACATGGTTTTTAGATTCTTAAATGTATTTTTTTCACATTTTAACATATCTAAAATCAGGAAGATTTTAGCATTAGTGACAGCATCCTTCATTCTTAACGGTGCATGAAGTCAGATTTACTGAAATACTGTTGTTAAGGATGTTTTTGAGGTAAAGCAATACAGTAGCCTGAGAGTGACTTGGGGCTTAGCAGTTTCTAACAGTAAGCTCTTCCCTTTTCTGGAAGAGAAGTGACACTAGAAGAGTATCCTCCAGCCTTTGGGCCGAAGGAGATGCTGATTTGGATCAGAGAAAAAGGGTGAATGAACATCAGAGCCAGAATTCCCTCATGACTTCTGCTGTTCTTCATAGGCTTTTTGACCTGTCAGTAAAGGAGAAGGAATCCTTCTGAACTTCCACATCGCACTTATTTACTTACTAGTCTGATTTTATACGACTGAGAATAGTGTAATTTCAAGCAAAATCTTACTTCCTTGAGAGATGTGGGCTTCAGCCTTCATCTTCCAGATATTAACTTGACCAGATGAGCAAGCCTGAACTTCCTGTCTCAAAATGACTTTTCCGCAGCCACTATTCTTTCTCTGCACTATATCTTTATCTGTAGCTGTAAAAATTAACCTTTAAAACTTTTATTTATTTATTAATGTTTTAAGAGACAGGGTCTCACTCTATCACCCAGTCTGGAGCGTAGTGTTGTGATTATAACTCACTGCAGCCTTGAACTCCAGGGCTCAAGTGATCCTCCCACCTCAGCCTCCCAAGTAACTGGGACTACAGGCACCTGCCAGCATGCCTGGCTAATTTTTTTTTTTTTTTTTTACTTTTTGTAGGGACTAGGTGTCTCTCTGTGCTGACCAGGCTGATCTTGACTCCTGGCCTCAAGCAATCCTCCTGCCTTTGTCTCCCAAAGTGCTGGGATTACAGGTGTAAGCCACCACACCCAGCCATAATAAACCTTTTTTTGCACCACATATTATTTGCTATAGTTCTCTTAAGAGTCAATTAATCCATGTTATTTTTTATTTTTTATGTACTGTATTTTATTTATTTCTTTTCTGAGACAGACTCTTGCTCTGTCACCCAGGCTGGAGTGCAGTGGCGTGATCTTGGCTCACTGCAGCCTCTGCCTCCTATGTTCAAGTGATTCTCCTGCCTCAGCCTCCCGTGTAGCTGGGATTACAGGCATGTACCACCCCTCCTGGCTAAGTATTGTATTTTTAGTAGAGATGGGGTTTCACTATCTTGGTCAGGTTGGTCTTGAACTCCTGACCTCATGATCCACCCGCCTCTGCCTCCCAAAGTGTGGGACTACAGGTGTGAGCCACTGCACCTGGCCAATCTATGTTACTTTTGAAAAAAGTTCAAATAAATTGAAATAAGTCTTTACTATTATACATTATGTTCTTATGGTCTAAAGAACTCAAGAAATAGTTTTAAAATCGAGAACACACAAACACACTCACACTCACACATAGAACCTAAAACAAAACTCCCCAAAACAAATATAGATTCAACAAAATACTATAAAAAGCCATAAAGCATATTCAGTATATAATTTTTAAATTGTTCTGACATATATGTTGTTTGTATACCCGCACAAATGTTACTGTCATTAAACTAATGATCCTATTTTCTTCTTCTCAAAAAAAGTCCTAGAAATCTGTTTGTGATGGCTTGATGAAGTTTAGTCACTTTATAAAAGGTTAAGCTTTTAAAAACTTTTCCTTTTTTATTTTTAGATTGCTAATGTGGCTAGGTCATGAGAAGACTCTGAAAATAGTTTTCCTTCATTGCTAATCGCAGCTGTTGCATTACTAACCAATGGTCAGATCCTGCATTAAGAACAAGAGACTAAAATTACAAATAGTTTCTTCTTTTTAAATCAGAGATGCTGGACTTCCCAAATTTTTGTCAGGCAGATATATTCATGTGATTTTAGGTGCTTAGAAAAAGTTTATTCATGGAAAGAGTTTATAATTGCTAGAGATAGCTGAACCTATTTTAAGATGACTGTATGCCCATTTTGAGTTTGAACCACATAGACTAGGGAATGAAGAGGAGTCATTTTGAAAATTTTAGCGTTAGCTCAGTATGTACCAGTAACTGACCAGGTTATTATATTAGACATTTCAACCTCTTCTTCTTTTTTTTAATATTTCTAAACATCAGAAATGCTCAGGTTTTTTTTTTTTTTTTTTTTTTTTTTTTGCGTCCGTGAAATGTTAAAAACTATTTTGAGTTCTTTGGGAAAAAAGTGTTCTCCCATGCTGTAACAAATGGAACCAATAATGTGAACCTTTTGATTACAAACAAAGATCAGACTATTTGGAAGGGAAAAAAAGAATATATTGGAAAGTACATGGGAATCTAATGAAGTCCAAAGATGAAGTGAATAATAAACAAGAAGCCATGGAGAGCTCAGGAATGCAGTCTGACCTCTGGAACAACTAGAAATGTGACACAGACCCCAATGATATCTTCATCTCACTTACCTATTTCTCTTTGTGTGTTGGCTTTTTTTCTTCTTTTTCTCCATGCAGTAGTATGACCATTGAGTTTCCTAGTGATTCAGCTTTCACAGTAGTTATATTTGTTGGGAGAAGGTGGGGGAGAGTGAGTTTTTACTAATTAAAGATAATGAAATCAATTTACATATACCCATGCATGTGCACACATGCAGAAACTAAAATATTAAATTCATTCCGGAAATAACAACAAAAATAACATGCTAAAAATGTGTGCATGAGGAAAAATAATGCATCATGAAAAATTAAACATAACCTTTCAACAACACACTTTGAAAATGCACAACACAAAAATACAGTTGTAGGCAGAGGGATCTCCCTGAAGAAATACAAAGCAGCTCTGTTGGCTCCTGGTTGCTGGCCAGGCCTCTTAGGTGGATGAGCCTTTGTATGTTGTTTAGCAATGTGTGTTTCTTATTTGAATGGGCCTAGCCTCATGAATCATGAATTGTTAGTTCATAAGAGTAAGGTGTTCTTATAAGCCAAACCAAAACATTAACGAAACCCAAATGCTTTTTACACCAGAAGGATTTTAAGAACACAATTTTAGCTTCTTTTAGATTGATTGCGGAGCTTGAAGAAATATTATTTCATGATAATTCCATCATTTATAATCAACTCCTCTCTGCTGTTTGTATGCTGATCCTTGTAATTCTGGGTAAAAGAGAACAGCAGTACATTTTGGGTATATTGTGTAAGGTGGGAAGTGGAGAGGTGTTCTCTTGTGTAGTTACTGAGTCCTTCCTTCCTGAAATGAATCGTAATTCTGGAAAAGTGAATACTTGTGAAGAGTCGTCTTGAATGATTTGTAAAAAATCCTGTTCTTATATTCAACGAGTTTCGAATCTTTGTCAGAGGAGTATTACCATTAGATTGAAAAAAAGGAAAATAAATAATACACACTTTTAAAAAAACTCCCCATTCTCTTATTCTCACTTTTAGGAAAAGAGACTGACTAATATCTTCTGCCACAAATACCGATGTTCTTAAAAATATTTATGGGACTGCTTTTGGCAACCAGCCCTATTTTGTTTTCATATCCCTTTTTGCTCCCATCTTTCCAAACTCATAAACTCCCAAATTATATTTTCCAGTTTTATTCCACAAGGTAAGATTTATTTTCCCCTAAAACTTTATTGCTTTATAATTTTAAGATAAAATATTCTAATACATTTCTTTACCAGTTGATGTACTAAAAATACAGTGAATTTTTACTTGTTTATAAATGACATTAGGAAAAATATATCTGTCAGATTTGATCAATGTTGATTTTAAACAACAATATGGAAAAGAATGATTGTGTTTTTTATAAGCAACTAGAAGCTAATGTAGGAAAGATGATATTGATATTTAAGACATGCTGGCAAACAATAACATATAAATATCAAGTAGGCTATTTTACCTGGGCACAGAAGGTCTCTTCCAAATACCAAAATTGAATTTCGTCATTTTATCCAGAGTTGAAATTGATTATACTGAGAATAACCACTTAATTTCTATCTTTATCTGCCACTGTTTTTTGGTTCAAATCTAAGCTACATGTTACACTGTTCTCCAGATACACTGTGTGGCTTTTTGTCTATACTGTCCCCACCACTAGAATGTCCTTCTTCAGCTTTAGTTTACAAAATCTTTCGTGATTTATTCTTAATGCTGTCATTTTCGTAAGTTCTTCCTGACTGTAAATGGCAAATGTAAAATTCCTGCTGCTCTCTAAATGCTCACATCACTTTGCTTGTACTTTCTGTTGTATTAATAATTACCACCAGTTGCTTGGGTTGTCATTATTTGTTTCTATGCCCGGGCTTCTCCAGGGAGCTCTAAGCATTCTGAGGGCAATGGCAAAGTCTCATTCATCAAAGCATGTTCCATATACCTAAAGTAAGGTCTAGGATTTAGTGGGTAGTAATTAAACATTTATTGATTAAAAACCAACAGTTGATTCACAGATTAAAGAAGGAAAAATAGATATTTTAGTTTTCTGCTTACAAGAATTTCAGGCAAAATTGTGCAAATAATTCAGTTTACCGCCTTGTGTTTATTTTATTGATTAATTTCCCTATGCATAGAAAAAAGGATCATTCCAAGAATTTTAACCTCATTGAGACAATTTATATTTTTTCTTTCAATTTGATTCAGTTATTTGGGATGACTATTTTTCTCGACACACTATCGACAAAGACAATGTTCCATTCCTTTTTGGGGAAGAACAGGTAGCTACATTTTAAGCAAAGTGCAAGGTAGGCTGAATACACTCGAAAAAAGTTTGGAAATGTAGTGATATAAACTCACAATATAGTAGATCTTATACACATTCAGTGTTACGCATGATTATTCGTTTGCTAGGTGCTAATTGGGCTTTAGTACTAGACAGCTATTATGAAGGATTTCCTACCTAACTAAACCAACACCATGATCTTCCCCAAGAAGAAAGAGTTGATCTTGGGAAGTTTGGAAGCACAGCTTTTGGATCCTTTGTTACCTTCCTTTTTGGAGGGAAGACTTTAGAGGAACAGATACTCTTCTCGCTATTATTGCTTAACAGTTTTTTTGTTGGGAACATAAAGAGCATATGATCCTCTTCAACCCCAGAATCGGTCTTGCCCTGGCTCCACAACACTGGCAATGAGAGGTTCCCAGAACAGCAAGATTATTGGAAATTTAAGTTTTAAACAGGTTCTCAGATTGGTTTCCTATTGAATTTCCATTCTCTGTCTTTTCTTTTTTTCTTTTTCTTTTTTTTTTTTTGAGACGGAGTCTCGCTCTGTCGCCCAGGCTGGAGTGGTGCAGTGGCGCAATCTCTGCTCACTGCAAGCTCCGCCTCCCGGGTTAACGCCATTCTCCTGCCTCAGCCTCAGCTGGGACTACAGGTGCCCGCCACCATGCCCGGCTAATTTTTTTTTGTATTTTTAGTAGAGACGGGGTTTCACCGTGTTAGCCAGGACGGTCTCGATCTCCTGACGTCGTGATCCGCCCGCCTTGGTGTCCCAAAGTGCTGGGATTACAGGCGTGAGCCACCGCGCCCGGCCGCATTCTCTGTCTTTTCACTTTCTAATATTTAAAAGAGGCAGCTCAAGGCCACACTTACCCCCTTTTAGTGTCCATTTTAATCTTTCCGTGGTCTGTAGTGCACAGATTTAGTAGACTCCAATATTTCAAATAATGGCCCCATGCCCCAAGTGTTTTCCTTACAGCTCTGTAGACATCATGTGGTAAAACAAAAACATTAAAAGCATTCAGAAACCAAACAAAACAGAATAGCTTTGGTGTTACCATTTATACTTCATTTGAATTACTGGATACTAGTTCTTTGTAGACATTTGGAGGTTTCTCCGTAAAGTCCTGATAAGAATTTTCAGAAAAGGAAGGCATAGCTCTTAGGTGACTGAGTATATTGGGGAGTAGTGTGGATTGGTGACACAATAGAGTGCTTTACAGAGCTAGAGGGGATCATTACAGTGAAGTATTTCTGAGCAAGGATAGGCATCAAAAATAGGGATGGAAAAAAAGAATGATATAGACAAGAAGGTGGTTGAGATAATGTCAGAGACACCCTAAGCAACACTTAAAATTTGGCAGAGGTGTGATTTTTTCCTCAGTTTCCCCCTTGCTGCTTTTAGTAGTGTTCTGGTGCTGAGGAGGAGGCTCAGGATCTGGATACGGTGGACATATGCTTATGGTAGATGCTTTAGGACAGTGGTTCACAACCTTTCTGGCACCAGGAACTGGTTTCATGGAAGACAATTTTTCCCCAGATGAGGGTGAGGGATTGGGGGGCTGGTATGGGGAGGACACCGTTCCACCTCAGGTCATCAGGCATTAGTTAGATTCTCATAAGGAGCTTGCAACCTAGATCCCTCACATGTGCACTTCATAATAGGGTTCACACTTCTATCAGAATCTAATGCCTCAGCTGATCTGACACACGAGGCAGAGCTCAGGCAGTATGCTCATTCAGCCAGTGCTCACCTCCTGCTGTGCAGCCGGGTTCCTAACAAGCCACAGACATGTACCAGTCCATGACCTGGGGGTTAGGGACCCCTGCTTTAGGACATGCAGAACAAGTTTGTAATGAGGACTGCGACCTCTAGGTCAAGCCACATTTTTCCTAAAGGTAACATTTTATTTGGAGTATTTGGAATTTTGAGGAGTGCGAGGGTGGGGATGGTTTGAAGGAACTGTGATTATGTTAAAAATTAACACCTAATGGATTTTAGATGGTTAGACCTTTGTAATAAATGGAATTCATAAAGCCTAGCATTGGCAAAAATACATATCAATTTTTTTTGACGAGATACAGTGTCTAATAGAATGTTAGCGTCCATCTTTGCATCTAAAATAATTTAAAAACAAATAAATTCACTTGCACCTAGGCATTTTTACTTTCTCTTTCATCTCTCTGTATATGGGTGGGAAGTAATGTGATACATTGCCCAGAATGTGAAGAGTGTGAGAGGAACACACACAAAGTGGTTGCCAAGAATGTGTCTGGGAATTAGACACGAAAAGGACCACGTTCCTTTTTCTTCTCATACCACGTAAGATTCCCTGTGGAATTCTGCTTGTTCCTCAGGGAGGAAAAGCAAACCATGAGTTCCTGGCAATATTATTGGCTATGAGAAAGTTAAGGAAGAGATACTGAGTGACAAAAATACCATGATGATCGAACAAATTTTCTTGTTATTAAGCAAATCAAAATGGAAGGCCCACCTTTATTGGCTAATTATTATATGTTAGTGAAGTCAGAATGATTTATAATAGTGATAGACCCAGAAAGAACCTTTAATGATATGCAAACACATTAGTTTTCTTGTATTAAAGTGATCTGTACCTGTTGACATTATTAAATGACTCCCATGCTTTCCATTCTAACATGATTGCTTTTGAATTTGCATTATTAACCATTATAGTTTTTCTATGTACAAATGGTGTATAAACTTCTCTTTGGAGGTGCTGATATTTAATGGCCTATTCTTGGGAAAGGTTGCAGGGAGAATATTATGATCCATAGGGCAATTTTGAAATTACAATTAGTACTCTGTTGTCTTCCTAGGCATGACTTTCATAGTGGCTTATCTTGTCCTGGTATTTTAACTTCTTGGCTCTCTTATTCCTCACACATACCGTGTATCTTTAATACTTGACCACTTGTTAAAACTAATGAGATTGTTTTGAAAACGTAAATGTTAGCTCAAGAAAAAAAAGGAATTACTTTCCAAGGCACGTCAGAGTACTATATAAAAAAAGGGGAAAATACAGACTTTAGATAAAATGTCCTACTTTACAGTATATATATATACACATAAAATTATATAGATAATTATCTGAGATAACTATAATTATATAGTGATATTACCTATATAATTATAATTTTATAATTATTATATCTATATAATTTTATTATATATAATTATTATATCCATAAAATTATGTGTATAGCACAACACCAACAGTAGATCTGGTTTTAAACCTGAGTTAGTTTAGCTCTTCACCGACTCTTACCCAGACTATTGCTATCACATCTTCAAATTTTGTTTTTGTCTCTGTGGATGGCCTTCTGCAATCTATCCTGTATACTATTGTTAATGTGTTAAAACACAGATCTCACTGATGTACCTCATTACAAGGCAATACAGGATACTCAGCATGGAATAAAAGCCAGTTGTTATTGAGTGTTGTTTGCCTCTCCAGTTCTTTTTTTTTTTTTTTTTTAAGATGGAGTCTGGCTCTTTCACCCAAGCTGGACTGCAGTGGCGTGATCTCGGCTCACTGCAAGCTCTGACTCCCGGGTTCACGCCATTCTCCTGCCTCAGCCCTCCCGAGTAGCTGGGACTACAGGCGCCAGCCACCACACCCGGCTAATTTTTTTTTTTTGTATTTTTAGTAGAGACTGGGTTTCACCGTGTTAGCCAGGATGGTCTCGATCTCCTGACCTCGTGATCCGCCTGCCTCCGCCTCCCAAAGTGCTGGGATTACAGGTGTGAGCCACCGTGCCCGGCCACCTCTCCAGTTCTTATCTTAGTATTCCACCTTCAACTTGATCCTGCCCATCAACAAAGTTAATGCTGCATTAATCGTTAATCATGCTGCTTTTGTACTTTTTTTGTGTGTGTGGTGGTCGTCATTCTTGTTGCAAAAATTAGTTAATATGTCAGATCTTCTGTGAAGTCTTTTTTGACCATCCACCCAAGTATAAGTACTTATTAACCATGTATCCTATTGCTGCCTGTACACATGGCATATATTTCTCATACTGTAATTATGTACTTATATTTCTGTAGTCCTGTTTAGGACAGGCACTTTTCATCTCTGTATTCCCCAGATTGAGTGTAGTACTGATACTTCACTACATGTTTATTGAATTAAATTCTTTACTGTTAACTAGGTTTAGTGAGCTCTGATGTCACCTACAAATATATTATCAGCCCCAAACATTTAATCTCAACCATCAAAAATTTAGCACAACCACCATTTTTATCGTATATATAGGAATGGAATTTTTTTTTAAATTTTCAGTTATTTTGAATAGTAATTTATTTAAGCCTTCCTATGTGTCATGGACCCTGCTGGTTTCAAACAGATTACTGTGATTGAGTGAATAAACATCAAGAATCTTTTATAGAGGGATTTAATATTATTGTAATCATAACGCTGGTTGGATTAGGGTTTGTTTATCATGCCATTATCTTCAACAAGGCTCATCTGCTGCCTCTTGGATTCAGATGCTGCTCAGTGGCTCCAGCCTGTTCTCTCTGAAGAGAGGAGAACTTAACAAATGGACATTATCCTCAAGAGTCATCTCTGCCAGAGGGCTTTGTGGAAGTGATTTGTGAGAATAATTTTTTTTTTTTTTTTCTCACTGCATATCTCAAATGGCATGTTTTTCACCACTGAAAATAGGAAGACAGTTCTTTTGTGTTTATTAAAAATAATAGCTAACTTATTCATTAAAAGAAAAAGCATTCTTAATTGTGGCAATGGTTTTGTGGCTTTGGACATTAAGAACAAGTTAAATTTTTATATGATTCCTCATCCAGATTTTTCTCAAGATTAAAAACTAAGATTCCTAGAGAAAAACATTTTTTTCTTTCAATTTTCACATAGAATTCTTGCCGTTGGAGAATTCTGAGATCGTTGGGAGGAACTTTGTACAGTGATCTGTAGACAATAGCTCTTGACTGTCTGTGTTTTCTGCCAGGTTGTGTGTGATTTTGTAATACTTCCCTAGTCTAGGCCGTATGCTTCTGAAGAGTCCCTGCCATTTCTTCATTCCGCGATGTCATTAAGACCCCTGTTGCTTTTATTTGAAAAGTATACAAGCTTTGGAATCGGATAACATGTTTCAGTTCACCAATTAATAGCTGTCTGACCTTGGCCAAATCAATGAACTGTTCTTTAAAGCAGTTTTCTGAGGTGTAAAATGAGAACTTTTTCATTGACCTTGTTTGTAAATATTAAATGAAATTGAATGTTTATAGTAAATAAAATGTTAACATTTTATATCAAGTGAAAAAATGGAAATTAATATTCATAAATATTAAATAATATAAAACTTAAACACTTGTAAATATTAAGTGAAAGTACCACCTACAGTCTGAACACATAATATGTGACTTAATAAAACCGTTTAGGTTACTTTATGAAGCAAGCATTTGGTTTCACATATTCTGTGTACCACACTTAGTAAAGCTTAGCAATGGCATCGTTACATTAGATCAACTGGACAGAACAATAAAAGAACAAATCTCCTCCAGAAGATAAGGTTTTACAAATAAGTAGTGGCAAGGCAATCCAACTTCTCACCTATTTGATTCATTTTTTAAAAATTTAGGTGAATGATATACAATAGCTGCTCTCTTTAAATTTTTTTCACTCTGAGGTTATTTCAGTTGTGCATACTACCAAAAAATATTTAAAAAATCAAATCGGCTGACAGAGGCAACTTGAATAATTAAACATTGCAGGGTGGTGTGCAACAGGGAAAGAACTGCCGCACTAGGAAGAAGGGGTCCCGCGATGGAGACGCTCATCATTTACTATGAGTCTGAGAAACTCAGTTAACCTTAGAGAATCTGGGGTGTGAAAGGAGGCTATGATACCTTTCCTACCTGGAGATAGGGAGCTGATTCAGGTAAAATCTTGACATTCCTTCAGGTTCTGAAACTCTAATACTAGGAGTTGGAGAAAATGTGGACTTTTTCTGTGAGTATCTATTTACTATTATAAGTATATTTAGGATGAATAGGATTGTGCCTTAGAGTTTGGGGAGTATCACAGGGAATTTGTTGCTCTACTCAGTCCTTCTTAAGGGCTGAATGAATCTACTTTTATTTTTCTCCCAGTTGTGACCCATGAGCTATCAGAATCCCAGTACTATAGTTTCTCTTTTCTTTTAGTGATTTATTAACTACTGTTAGTCTTTTTTTAATAGGGTTATTAAGGTCAATTAAATAGTAAGGAAAGAGAAAACTTAAGTAGACATTGGTTTGAGTAAGAAAAAGGCAACAGAAATAAAACCATGTTTTGAAAAGTTGGGTCAGTATAGGAAGGTAATCCTTATAAAGTGATCATTCTAGGTAGGCATCACATTTATACACCCGTGGACTTCTTACTAAACTGACCTAGATTGTGGTGACCTGTGCTTAAATGATTCTTAAAGTCATTCTCAATTCCGATTTCCAGTGGTTATGTTACATTCAATAGGGTGTAGCCTTTGGAAAGATCTAATTTCTCAAATGTGCCGTGCCATTCCATCTGAATAGTCCAGTGATTTCAAAGACACCACGGAGGAATACCATTGATATCACAGAAGTCCTGTCCTTTCTTAAGATGAAGAGTATGAAAAATATCCAAGCAGATGCAGAGAGGCCATCTGTCTTGAGACTCTAGAGGACATTCCTATACTGGGTGGAGAATTGTACTAAGTGGGCTTGGGAGTCTTTCGCAACTCCTCACATTTGATTTTTTTTTTTCATTTTAAATAAATGATCATTTAGAATAAGTAGAGCTCTGCGTTTTCCTTGAAAAGTAGGATGGAATTCATGAAAGGGACCAGCGAATGTTCTCTTATGCCCTGGTCTGTGCAGTACTCTATGCAGACAGACACTTGACAGATACCCTTGATATTTCCTTTCTCTTCCTTTGTGGGATTGCTTTGAACTCTGTAGGAGACAGTTTAGAATATAATTGCCTTGTCCTGCTTTAGGGATATGTAGGCGGGCTTAAATACAGATATTCTCAAATAGCTGGTTCTAGTAAACTAAATGCCCTTCCTGAGGAAATATATGGGTTGTAGATGCTGAAATAAACTAGGTTAAAAATATTTATTACACAAAAGAGATGCTAACTGAAAGAGGCACACATCCTTGTTCTCCCAACAGTTTCTCACTTGTAAATGGCATCTCTAAAGGGTTGTCCAAATTCCTAGTGTGGGCATGTAGAGTAGACAGCTGAGTCACAGCTGCTGAAATGAGACCATGCCTCCCTCCCGCTCGTGAAGGGAAGAAATAGGGAGAAAGGAGTGCAAGAGAATTAGTGCCAACAGCTTACTTAAAATTCACTGGCTTGAGAAGTCTATGAGATTCCTGGGCCAACCGGAAGCCATTACTCTACCACGTGGAGTGTCTGAAGCATGAAATCTGCCTTTCCTTAGAGAACTCTTATCATTGGCCATAGTTTGTACAAAAATGTATCTTCTTTCTGCAGAGATCTTTCCTGTATTGCAGGAATGCTAGTGTTCTCTGGCCTATCATATGAGGCTGCTGGCCTACCATTCTAGTTTGCATTTTCGACTTGGTGATACCTGGCCAGCATGTTGGCTTTCTCCTGAAGTTTGATGTTTCTCTTCCCCTTGCAGTACATATTTGAAAAGAAGTTTGGAACTGCCAGCTTTGCTTGGATTTGAACTATGGCTTGGTGCCTTACTAGCAATGAGACCTTGAACAAATTACTCAAGCTCTCTCTACCTTAGTTTCCTCATCAATAAAATGGGAATGATAATAATGCCCAACTTTTTAGGTTGTTGTGGGGATTAAATAAATTGTTTCATATTAATGTACCCCCCACCAAGGTGTGGGGATTAAATGAATTGTTCAGATTGCTTAGAACATTGCCTGGCTTGTCGCCACTCTGCCATCAATGGCTGCTGAATATCCTGTATTGGAAGTAGCATTGAAGATGATTGGAAAGAGATATTAATTTACCAGCAAATTAACACTCCATCTCATAGAAAGAGCACTAATAAATTAAGATCTGCTCCATATCACCATTACTAATATTGTTTTAGAATTTTTTATGGATTTAAATAATTTTACACACATACAGAGGAAAACAAACAGTATTATTTAGACATTATGAATTTATACTTAGAAGGCCCAGTAGCATCAATTGTAAAATTACTAGATTTAGATCATTAGCAAAATATTTGAGACTGCAAATTTTCAAAAAGAGGTGACTTTTCCAAATATCATCAATAAATTATAAGAAAGTATAATGTGGGAAAGGCTAGAAATAAATATAAACCAAAATATTAGCACTTACTACTTCTGGTTTTTGGGAATATATGTGATCTTTTAAATAAATTTAAAAAGCCCTATTGTTTACGTAGTATTTACTGTGTGCTGTGAACTGTGTTAAGTAATTTTTGTATTTTAAAAATAGCTATTGGCTTTACACTTCATTTGTGTTCTGACCAAATATTTTCATTAGTCCCCTTTGAGATCCATAAAGCCTTTCTGAGTTTTGTGAATGTAATGCAGCTAAAGATTATAATTGTAAAACTGCATTCCAAATGGCACGTATTGTAATTTGCTGCTACTTATATCTGCTTGAAGCTGTCAATATGTAGAGAATAGATTTGATCATTGAACTGAAGTAAAACTGCTCTCAATTTAGGAGTGAAAAATTTTAAGGCCCCACCTACTTTCTCTCTGGGAAAAGATGTTTCTGTTTTCTGTGTGTGTTTATATTTTCTCTATTTAATGTAGATAGTAATGTTGACTAGTTTACATCTGACTTTTCTTCCAGGTAACATTGAGATTTAGAAAAAGTACAATATGGCTGGCACCCTGAGTTTTTGGAGAGCTTAACTTTGTGTCCGAAATGCTTAAGAAGAGGAGTGTGTTCATTTGCTGTGGTTGTGATTATGATTATAAACTTAAGGCTGGTAGGCCGGGTGTGGTGGTTCATGCCTGTAATCCCAGTACTTTGAGAGGCTGAGGTGAGTGAATCGCATGAGCTCAGAAGTTCGAGACTAGCCTGGGCAGCATGGCAGCACCCTGTCTCTACAAAAAAATACAAAAATTAGCCAGGCGTCGTGGCATGCACCTATAGTCCCAGGTACTCAGGAGTCTGAGGCAGGAGGATCACTTGAGCTCCAGAGGTTGAGGCTGCAGTGAGCCAAGATCGTGCCACTGCACTTCAGTCTGGGCGACAGAACAAAGACCCCATCTCAAAAAGAAAATAAACAAACAAACGTAAGGCTGGTAAGGAAGTTTTGCCACTGAAGGCCCAGCCTCAGCCAAGTTAGTGATTGGGCAGGAAGTCAGCTCTCACCCTCACTTACCCTGCAGTTCCCCTCCCCTGTGACTTCTACACCAGTATTTTATAGTACTATAAAGTTTTCTTTGACTCACACAGTTCTCACTTCACCCTTGGAGATGCAGTTAATGCCGTTGAGTCAGATTCAGTAGACTTTCACTCATTATGCTGTTAGGGTCTTTAAAGAAATCACAGATACTCCAATTTAGGACTGCCTGTTGTGGAGGTTACCACAGCCCGATGCAAGGCCACATGACAAATCATTCATAGTGATTTTTAATGTTTTGGTAGAAATAATATTTCTTGAAAACATGACTATGTTATTGCCAATATCTGCCCAGCAAAAAGTAGTTTTTGTCTCTTTTACAATATGCTCAGAATATATGAAAAACAAATCTTCATATGAAACATAGTCAATCCTTTTTATAGATTGTTAAAGGGGACTGAGGGTGAACTGCAGAATCCTATAAATTGGATGATTCTCGTTTTGTGGGTATATTTACTTGTTGAGCTGATCGCAGCAGGGAGAGGGTGCACATATTTCCTTCTAGATACAGCAGTCCTTCACTGGTTGGAGGTTAAAAGCTGTTGAAAAATAACCCGAATGCATTTCATGAAAGAATCTTAGACAAATACAATTACTTGGAATATCAGCTAATTGCTTGCTCTATACCATGATTTTCATGTCTTACTTCCTCCAGCCTGACTTCCTCCATGTACCTTCTTGGTCTGAGTAAAATCTATGGTAATAACCAAATCGTAGACTAAAATTAATCATAATGGTGAGGGCTAAAAGGAGGGGTTAGGAAAGGACTTGACCCTGGATGGTATTTTCTTATTTTTCTTAGTACATTTAACATGTGTATTAGTCCATTTTCACGCTGCTGATAAAGACATACCTGAAACTGGGCAATTTACAAAAGAAAGAGGTTTAATGGACTTACAGTTCCACATGGCTGGGGAGGCCTCATAATCATGGCATAAGGCAAGGAGGAGCAAGTCACATCTTATGTGGAATGGCAGCGGGCAAAAAGAGCTTGTGCAGGAAAACGCCCCCTTTTAATAACAACTACAACAGCATGGGAAAATCCTGCCTCCATGATTCAATTACCTCCCATCGGCCCCCTCCCACAACACCTGGGAATTCAAAATGAGATTTGGTTGGGGACACAGCCAAACCATATCAACATGTAACTTTACAAGTTGATTGTATTGTAGACCACTAATTGAAAATGCTATTTCTAGGAACAGACTTTATTTTACTAATGCCAGGCTATGAGTAAAAATGTTGAATTAAATAATGTTATGAGTAATAGTAGCTAGGTAGTCACAGTCATAGTTCAAGCATTTCATAATGAAAATATACATATTTACATCTTCTGGCAAAGTTATAAACCCATCCCTTCCAGATAAAGCAGCATCAGAAATACTTATGATGTGTCTACCTCTATTATACCTAATCTATTTTGCATTCTGATTTTATCTTCAGAAAAGGCCTGCAGTTACTGAAATGACAAGTGAAAAGGAGGTAAGTTATGTAATTAGATGTCAGGAGAATAATAGGAAGTTATAGCCATGTTTTAGATAAGTTTATTGTTGGCTGACTTAAAATGCTATTGGTGTAATCAATCTTTTCTTGGATAGCTTATCATAAAATGTTGCTTCCCATAAGTAGTTTCCCTGTGTTTATTTTCTTAATCCACTAAATTGCTAGCTGAAACAGTTCGTGGCTAGGAAGGGACACTTTTATGTCACATATCTCCTATGACACTGTCTTCTTTCCATTTTTGTAATTGATTCAACATCTCTTTACCTCTGTAACATATTTGGATCTTTTTATTCTGTCAGCATTTGGCCAAATAATTGCTAGATCCTATGTTGTTTCTTAAAATATGCTTTGTCTTAATCAATTGTTGAGTATTTAGATTCTCCACATGAATTGACTATCATGATATCTTACTATTATTCATTAGTCCAAAGTTTGAGGGTATATTTGCAAGCCATTTTGCTCTCAGTGCCCTTCAAGTCTGTTCTTTCAATTTTTTCCTATAGCCATTGGGTTCATCTAAAAAGACCCATAGACATTTTGCTTTTGCTTCTAGCAGTATTGGTAGCCTTAGCTTGTATTTGTAGGACTCAGGACTAAACATATGCCAACAATTTATGTAGGGTAGAAGTGAAAATGCTGGATTATAGGGCAAGTATATTAACAACTTTGGTAAATGAAACCAAGTTGCCCTCAAAGTACCAGTTGTCCTGTTGTTATCTCCTCTATGATCAATACTACATATTGTCAATCCTTTGCTTTTTTGCAAATGATATAGACAAACTCTTCATTTTTGTTGCAATTTGCCCTTACTCGAATAGTGAAGCTGAGAGATTTTTCCTGTTTATTGGAACATTAATTAGGGGTAGTTTTTGTTTGTTTGTTTGTTTGAGAGAGTCTTGCTCTGTCGCTCAGGCTGGAGTGCAATGGCACGATCTCGGCTCACTGTAACCTCCGCCTCCTGGGTTCAAGCTATTCTCCTGCCTCAGCCTCCTGAGTAGCTGGGATTACAGGCGCCCGCCACCACGCCCAACTATTTCTTGTATTTTTAGTAGAGATGGGGTTTCACCATGTTGGCCAGGCTGGTCTCGAACTCCTGACCTCAGGTGATCCGTCTGCCTTGGCCTCTCAAAGTGCTGGGATTACAGGCGTGAGCCACTGTGCCCAGCCAGGATAGTTTTATTTTTAATAATTACTTGCCAGGATGTCCGTGTCAGAAACACATTGTAATAATTTATTTTATCTATTTTTAGTGACTTGAATATTTCAAAATATAAGGTATGGCTTGAGATGAGAAGTGAGTCATGAAAGCTATAATACTACAGAGAAGATACCAGACTTCAAATGCTATCTTCATACTGCTAGTGCTTTAATCTATTATGCAAATCATATTTGCCAGCTTTCTTCCCCCATACTTGAAATTTAAAAACTTCTTGGTTTTTATATTTTATTCTGAAGAACTGTGTTCACCTTTTTAATAAACCTTACAATTTGATAGATTAAAACTTGGTCATTATGTTTTAGAGCAAGGGCTGGAGGGAAAATTGAAAGAATGTTGAATAAATGAGTTTTATAATACTTTAGTGAATCATTTTTTCTTTCTTCTTCTTCTTCTTCTTCTTTTTTTTTTTTTTTTTTTTTTGATAGGGTCTTGCTCTGTCCATCAGGCTGGAGTACAGTTGCACAATAGCTCACTGCAGTCTCAAATTCCTGGGCTCAAGATATCTTCCCGCCTCAGCCTCCCAAGTAGCTGGGACTACAGGTGTATGCCACTCCTCCTGGCTAATTTTTAGAAATTTTTGTAGACATGGGGATCTCGCTTTGTTGCCCAGGCTGGTCTTGAACTCTTAGGCTCAAGAAATCTAACCCCTCTGTCTTCCCAAAGTGCTGGGATTACTGGTATGAGCCACTGTGCCAGGCCCCAATCATCTAACTCTGATGAGATCAGAATATTTCAAGTTTGGAGATCTTCTCATATGTACTGTTCTTAGGAACCACGAACTTCTGATATACTAGAGTTTGAAGCAAAAGAAGGTTCACTTCTTATCTCCATTAAATTATTGCCTGTGGGTTGGACAAGCTTGATCTAGATGTTTTCCTAACTAAAATACTAACTAATGATGACTTAAATGTACACAGCACTTAGCTTCTAATATCATAGGATATTGTGGAGAAATTTTCAAATTAATTGACACACGTTTCTAAGTAGTAGTTGGAAGCAGAAATTGGAGGGAGTCCAAATAGTTTCTTTGTTGGTATAGAAATGAACACACACACACAAACCTGAATCTTGGTGAGATCCAATGTAAAATTTCATTCACTATTCCCCCCTTTAACACTGTCTTTGTTAGGTTAGAATGGCCATTGACTTACATGTCACTTAAATGTCTGTGCAAAGCAGTGCTTTTTGCTGCTTGGGAAATCTTTATGTGGTGATTCCACTAAATGGTAACCATATGCACTCAACTGAGGGAGGAAATTTGAGGAGAAAGTTACTGTGATTCAGGTTTCAGCATTGATTTGGTTAGAAGTTGACACCTTTAAAGATTATCTTAAAAGTTTCACTAAAACTTCCCTTAAAACCCAGAGTGCTGTCTTTATGAGAAAGGGAGCAAAGGTCCCCGACATCCAGGGTTCTGATGTCAGTCAACATTAACAAAATGATTTGCTTGTGTTTGTGTGAGTGGCTTGTTTGCTCTGGACCAGACAGAAGGCTAAACTGTCATTAAATTATGCTTAGAATGAGAAGAACTGGTTAATGTATCCAATAGCAATAGTTAATATACTGGTTGTAATGAGGATGATATCCAATTATCTATTCTAACCAAAGAAAATGACAGAAAAAAACCATCATTCTTTAGTCTTAAGAATTGTGTTTTAAGAAGTTTGAAAAACCCAAACATTGGCCCATATGCCTTCTATGTTAACCTAGTCTAGAAACATTTTGATATGCAAGGGGGTTAATATTAATGAAAAATATAGGAAGATAAAGTTTTATATATATAATTATTATTATTATTTTTGAGATGGGGTCTCACTCTGCCACCCAGGCTGGAGTGCAGTGGTATGATCATGGCTTACTGCAGCCTTGACCTCCCAGGCTCAAGTAATCAGCCTCTCGGGTAGCTGAGACTATAGTCACGTTCCACCATGCTTGGCTAATTTTTTTTTATTTATTTTTTGTAGAGGTGGGTTCTCCCTATGTTGCCCAGGGTAGTCTCCAACTCTGGGCTCAAGTGATCCTCCTTAAAAAAGTGTTCTTTTTTTTTGTTTTTTGATTTCAAGATGCATTTTAATTATTTACATAAATTAATTGGTTATCTATTTTCTTGAAGTGTATTTCAAAGTCCTACAAAACTTAATTGTTGACCTCCTTAAAATGTAGTTGAGTATACTTAAATTTCCTTTGCCAATCTGAAGTAAAACTTTAAATTCAAACCCTCAAAGCAGGTCTTTGCCCTTCCTCTAGGAGGTTGGGTCACGGAATTCTGTTTTACGTCCCTTCATAAAAAAAAAGAAAAATGATCTCTCTCCCATCATGCTTGAGCTAAGTCAGGAGCAACTGCTGAAATAAGCCAGTGTGTGTCTCATATGGGTGAAGTGGAGCCCACCAGTAATCAGTAATCTCTCCAGGAGAAACAAAACAAAACAAAACAAAGATATGTTTAAATGTGAGCTTGGGTGGTTTCCAGTTTTACCAAAATGTAAATATGGCTTCAGTTGAGAATTTTATTTTTCAGTACATTTACTCTCTGTTGCTTTGTTCGATGAATTTCTCTAGATTGTGTATCTAACACTAAGTGAAAAAGACCTTTTACTGGAATAGTTAAAAGTATAAAAAATAGGAAAAGAAACTTGGGTAAATATACTCACTAATGATCTTTGGGAAAACACCTGGTTTATTATCCTACAGTTTGTGCAAGGGCTACTGCAAAAATAGTCCGAACAAAATTGCTTTTAATGTTTTCAAAGATAGAAAATTCACTGGTTTATACATGCTTTAGGGGGAGGTGAGGTGAAAAGGGAAGGTTGCCAAGCAAGAGTGATAGTATAGTGTTAATGATCATATAAATTTTCAGCCTTAAGTCACCCTATTTAAATAAAATTATTTGTAGAAATTTTAGTTAATTAGCTAGGCTTTTATAGCTTTTTCTATTAAAGACCCTTTCCTGTCAGTGATATCAGGGATGCCTGAGAGACGTTGATATATTATATGGTTCAAAGTTTACCACATGTCTATTCTCATAGGATGCAGCATCATCATGCTACCAAATGGATGGAATGGGGAATACCTTCTCTTGAGGTTGTGCCCATTGGAGGCAGCTGTACTGGATAATTCTGAAAATGGCTAATCCTGCCTCACTTTTAGGAGACACTTAATGTAGTGTTTAAGAGTAAAGAACCCATAGTGCCTAGGTTCAGCCCCTGGCTCTGGTACTTTCTTGCTCTGTGACTCTTGGCAAGTTTCATTTTTTCTTCTTTGGGGTACTTTTCACTAACATGTTCCTTTTACATTTTCAAAACCTCTTTTCATCTGTGAAATCATTTCTATGGGTATTTGGCATGTAATTAATTACCCATTAGCTCCAATAATGAGGTTGGATGAAGTCACATACTTATTGGCAGAGCTGCCCAGGTCTCAGAGGCTTATTTTTGAATTCCAACTTGTACCTGAGAGCTAAAAATTAGGTAAGATTTGGATTGATCACACTTCGGGATCCCCTGCTACAATGGATATGCGGTTACCTGTATTTAAAACAAAGAACTGATGACCTTTTTCCTTTTAATAGCTGATTCCTTGATTTACCTAACTATTCTTCATTTTATTTCATTTATGGAAAGAGCACTGAACTAGTGAAGCATAGTAGGAGATAACTTGCACGCATGTATGCATGTATATGCTAGGGCATGAGGTATTTCCCACTGTGGTCTTACAAGCTTGAAGCATTTGGACGGAAGGCCCTTGAAAGTGTCTCTAGTTCTCACCTTTTCTAGTCTCACTTTATTACTCATACTGCTTGCCAGCCAAACAACTGATTTGGTTTCAGATGTAGCACTATCATTCTCCATTTCTGGTTCAGTTGCTTGGCTGTGGCTCACCGCTACTCCTCTTAATATGTGAGAAAGAAAATATGGAGGTGATGCAGAAGTTAAAGGTTCTTGGTTGTAAGCTTTTAACCAGACTATGTTCTGCCTATGGTTTAAGATCAGAGTGATCTAAACCAAGGGCTGGTGAACTTTGGGCCAAATTCAGACTGTGGCCTGTTTTGTGAATAGAATTTTATTCAAGTACAGCCATAGCTATGCCCATTTGTTAGGTATTCTTTGTGGCTTCTTGATACTATGACAAGAGTTTTGTAGTTATGACAAAAATGGCATGGCCCACAAAACTGGAAACATTTACTAACTTGCTTTTTGTACATGAAGTTTGCTGACTCCTACGCTAAAGGAAGGTATTTCCTGACTGTTTGAAAGTATATATGATGAGTGTTCAGGTAAAACTGGTTTTGGCAATATGGTAATATTGCCTTCATATAAACTATTTTTAGTCTTTCTGTGTATATTAGATGGAAACCATATTTCTCTTTTTGTTAAGGGCTTAGCTGTTAAATATGTGCATCTGTATAGCATATAGAGAATAAACTGGGAAGAATAAAACATGAAAAAATAAGGATGCTTTTTTAACCAAAAAAAAAACTGTGTTGGGTGTTAGGAGCTTGACATGCATTATGACTAATCCTAACACCACTGTGCTATAACTGTTATTATTTTGATCGTACTGGGGAGGAAATTGAAGCTAAAAGAGGTAAAATATGAAAGCTATTTATGTATTTAGCCATTACTCCAGGCTGTGTCTAGATATATTGTCTCTCTTCTATTACCTGCGTGGATGATGTATGGCCCATACTTAAAATTCTTAAGCCTTATTCATAGATGTATAAGGGATTTTAATGTTGTTTCTCTGTAAAGATGAAGGGGGTGGAACTGAACTTGTTATTCCATTCTGGATAATTCAGTCTTATTGAAGATTGTTTATTTAGTTGGAGTGGAGCATCTGCTTCGAATAATATACAGTTTGAATAGAAGTCTTACTAGCTAAATAATCTTGGATTATATGAACATGTATTCTTGGCTAGAGATGGAACTCAAGGGATGAACAATTAGATAAGTAACAATTGTGTTTGAAGTGAGTTCTTCTGTCATCATTAAGAGTTATTTCTACCTATCAATAAATAATGGGTTTGGATTTCCTGAAATGTGTCTCTAGTTGTTTTTCCTTAATGAAGGAGTTAGACCTAAATAATATTTTCACACCCTAATTAACTACAAGCAGGGCAAAGGATACTTTCAGGATCTCAAGTGATTATTATTTAAAGAACTCCTATTCATAAATTTTCTGTTTTCTTCTAGTAGATCCTCTTTGGTAATGAACCAGAGCAATATATTATGACCAGTGACTCATAAATATGCCCTTAAAACCATTTGTTACTTGTATCTACTTGGAATTTTTCCTATTTTAATTTCAGTACTTAAATTGGAAAACAAAAGTGTTGCTTATCATTAGAGCAGGTATAAAGTACCTAAATATTTATCACGGTATGCCAGTTTTTATTTTGTACCTTCAGTATTCCCAGAAGTGTAGCGTTAAAAGGAAAAAAAATGATTCGCATATCCCAGTATATTTCAGAGGAAATAGGAACTTTATTTAAAAGCATTAATTTCTGGCTGGGCGCAGTGGCTCACGCCTGTAATCCCAGCACACTGGGAGGCCAAGACGGGTGGATCACGAGGTCAAGAGATTGAGACCATCCTGGCCCCACATGGTGAAACCCCGTCTCTACTAAAAATACAAAAATTAGATGGGCATGGTGGCACGAGTCCCAGCTACTCAGGGGAGGCTGAGGCAGGAGGATCGCTTAAACCTGGAAGGCAGAGGTTGCTGTGAGCCGAGATCGCGCCACTGCACTCTAGCCTGGGCGACAGAGTGAGACTCCATCTCTAAACAAAAACAAAAACAAAAACAAACAAACAAAACCATTAATTTCTATACTTCTGTAAGGTGTTTTTCTGGGAATAAACTGTATTACTCAGATTATCAATAGAACTGCATTTAAGATATTTAGTAATTTTCATTCTTTTTACAATTTTTGTGAAATATATTGGCTTTTTTGTAATGAATTTTGTAGATCATATCAACAAATTTATATCATGGTTTCTGATTAGCATAGATAGATGACAAAGTTAGCTTAACTCAGTATTGCATGTGTCCTAATGTGACATGTATTAATCTTTCTCTGTGTCCTGAATGGAAGAAAGATCATTCCAAGTTGATAATCACTTACATGAGCAAAGTTATGTATCACAGCTTAATTCACAATTGGAGAAGGTTAATTTGTCCATTTTTGAGGATCATCAAGCAGCTTTACTAAGGATATTGTATTTTCCAACTTATTTTGTCTTGGACTTTCTTTTTACTTGAAAAAACTATATATATTCCAAAAATTTAAGAAAATGCTTCATATCTTCAGCTAAATAAAGCTTGTTCTTTACAAACAGTAAAGAACCATGAAAGATAATTCTATTTGTTTCTTGCTACTGTACTCAGTCAGAAAATTAAGAATCTAGAGGTGCCATGGAGGGGAGAGTGTGGAAGATCTTAGGACAATAATCTTTTAAAAGAATGTCCTTCATGGCTCTCCAGTGATCTACGACTTTTCATTTTTCTTCAGTTCAACTTTGTTTAAATTAACGTGACCCCAGGTTTTATTGAAAAGTTTGACTTCAGAAAGGACTTAAATTTAGTATTCATTTTTTCCTGATTCTACAGAAAATGTCTCTGGTTCCGTGTTCTCTCATAGAGCTTTTACCCTCTGTTTAAATAAGCACTCAAGAATCTAAATGCTAGATGTTTAGGCAATATAGTTTTGGGGTCAGGGGTACTTACTTTTCTTTCCTTTTTATGTTTAATCTTTTTGGTGTCTAATACTACTTAGTACCACATTTTTCACCGAGCAGTTTCGGAGTAAAAAGATATTCTGGCAAGTTCATATCAGCTTGATTTTTATTTTCAGATGAACAGGTTGCCAACCCCTTAAGTGGCTTGCTATCATAGAAACAGACCATTTCGGTGATAGATCTGTCCCTTAGTTGATTGATTGGCGTAGAGGAATTAGCAGTCTGTGAAATGCTCTTCAGAAGTAATTTTCCTCCAAAGGTCAAGGAACTGTGGTCACCATTTCTCTGGCATGATTTGCAGCTACTCATTGTAGCCTTATTACCAGTAGCAAATGAAACAGCTGAAATGGAATGTTTCCTTGCTCATTTTTCTTTCCCTCTGCCTAACTAAATTTCTTGAACACCAGTTTGGTATTACCTCTTTCTGTTCTGCCATCTGCCATCCAGCTCAGTGAAACTTTAAATTCATAAGGTATGTTTTAATTTATGAATTAGGAGCTTGCTATGACATTTCTCTTTTTAAATAGATTTATGTAATACTATACATAAAGATGTCTTGAACTCAAGAACATGTATTGAGGACCACGTATGATAGAGGACTTGGTGTTTAGGCCTTTCTAGTGAGTCCTAAATGGTCAATAGGAACTGTATATGATGGAATTAGTTCAGGATATATTATGCGCTCTCTGTTACAAGGTTGAAACAAATTATTTTCCTCTGTTTCCCTCTATTCCTCTTTTAACTCAACATGGGTTATTACCATTTTTTTAATGTGGCTTGAATTGCCTCATACTCTTGGATAAAATCTTTTAAAGATTTTAATACAGCTGTAGAACAAACTCTAAACTCCTTTTTCTGACATCTAAAACTTTTCGTATTTACTTTCATTTCTTCCTAGTTTCCTATGTATTCTGGATGCTCATTATACAGAGTTATTTGAAATTTCACAACATATGATGTTCCTTTAGAGTTATATGCCTTTGATCTTGCTTTTCCTCTAGTTTTATTCCCATTTCCATTCTGGCTTTGCTCTGTTTGGTATATCCTTCCTCATATTCACTATGAGTAACTCATTGAAACCTTCCCTAACCAACCCTGGTGTGAGTAGCCAATTCTTTAATGTTCTGTGGAATTTTCATCATATTATTATCCCGCATAACACATTGTATTTATTTTAATATATATGTCTCCCATAGTTTGTCTCATTTATCAGTCCAGTTATTTTTGCATTTCCTATCATCTACTCCAGTATACTGTATTTGCCCTTAACCTTGAAATACAAAATTCTTTACAAAAAAATTTGTAAAAGTTTTATTAGTATGCTATATTTTATGCCTCTTGGATTAGACCTTGTTGTAAATTAGAAATTAAAAATTATTTAAAAAGCTTTCTTATTACTCAAGTCAAGTAGACCAGTAATGATTTTCAAGACTCCTTTGACAAATTTCAGATAGGGAAGGGATGTGCAACAAATAGCAAGCATTGACCCACTTATTTTGTACAGCTACTCCTAGTTGTTATTGCTAATCAGAATCCTGTAGTCTAAAATTAACAGTGGCTATGAAGGAGAGCAATTAAGGCCATTTGTCTTTCAAATGAGTCAATGTGGGTCCCACTGGTAGTTTAAATTTATATACAGAGGGCACTCACACTATTATAAAGGGTAATGGGGGCCCTGAAGGCCTGTGTTACAAAGCAGTAAATTATTTTAGAGTTTGATAGCAAATTATATTTTGAGAAAAACTTTCCTCTTGCTATGTGAAGATACATTTCCTAGCAACCTATTTTCATTGGTTAATTTTAAATTAAAAAGTACATCTTTTTTAATGAGAGCATTTATAAAAGGTCTATTTTAAGCATATTTAAAAGACAATATTAAGGTTTTGAGTTCTCGAGTTTGGTTGTTTTATAGGATTGCTGTAGTCATAAGAGTGATTCAAGAATACACTCAACATATTCTCCTTTTGGAAAAGATTTCAGAGCTTGTAGTGCCACCATGACATCTCTGATGTCTCCTGCTTTGCCTGTGACACTGACCCCTCCCTGTCATTGGTGAGCAGTGTAACTTTCACTTATACTCAGATTGCCAAACTTTTGATGAGGAAAGTAAATTCCTTTTTTTTACAGAGAAGAATTTACAGCACTGGAGTTTACTACTCCTTAGTCTGTTGCTTGGTCAGAGAATTCACTGAGTTTCTGCACAGAGATCCCTATGGAAACTGAACAAATACACTATTTGAAAGGAGACAGGTTATTGGTTTTTCTCATTAAACCCACTGCTGGATTTTCGTTAGTTCTAATGCATTTTCTTTCAAGATGAGACATATAGGCCAGTTCTTATTTTCATGATTTGAATAAACTAAATATGTTGAGTCGTGTGTGCCTGTACACATCGCCTAAGAAGCAAAAATAATCCTTCTACTTTTGCAATACAATTACCCCTGAAAATTACGCCAGAAAAACCATGACTGATGCAAATGGGGAATGCTACCCCCGTTTAAAAAGACCAAGTTATTAAATAAAGTGGGAACGGTGAAAGTGATTATAGGCTAATCTGATTGGTTTTATGCTTGAGTCACCCCCAACCTTTTAAATCATAATTGTGTATGAAAGTAATCTAAATAAAGCATGAAAGATATCACAGACCTCAAACACTTTAGACCCTAAAAAGCTTTATGTTTCATTGGCTATTATGAGATTTCAAAGAGTTCTTTTAAAGCAAAGATGTTAGTAAAACTTAAATTATTTCACCTTCTTGAACTTGCATTGTAGAGGAAGACAACTTTCACTCTTATTCTTCCTCTACTTCTCACCACTAAAGTTACTAAAAACGATTTAGACTCCAGGTGGTTTGTGAGGCAGGAGAATAGGGTCCGGAGGCAGGGAACCTAAGGCTGATTCACCTGACGTCCTAGAACTAAATAGAAAGGAAAACCCCAACTTTCCAGGCCTTAGTAACAGAAGGACCACAGCGTACTCCCTTTGCAAACTTCCTTGTTTTCTGAGTGGTGATGGAAAATTGAAAGTACCTCTGATTGGTTGCAGAAAGTACTGTAAAATGTTGATTGCGGGCCACCACTTCATTTACATGAGGTGAACACCAAGTGGCCAATCGGAAACCTCTAGGGAGGTATTTGGACCTGAGAAGATTCCGTACTGTTCCCTTGAGCTGCTGCTCGCGCACTCCCACAGTGTGGAGTGTACTTTCATTTTCAGTAAATCTCTGCTTTCGTTACTTCATTCTTTCCTCGCTTTGGTGTGGATTTTGTCCAATTCTTTGTTCAAGACGCCAAGAACCTGGACAACTTGCAGTCAAGATCCTCTACCACTAACACTTTGTATATTTCAAGAAAGCCTGACTTATGCATGTATCTATTATTTTTAATAATTCAAAATCTGTGCCTCAGTCTTCCTTCTGGGTCTCAAATGGGCTTCTTTTTCAAACAGAAAGTACTGATAGACATTTATTTTTCTGTGAAAATTTAAAGAGAATAGTGATAAACAGGAGTACCATTTATTATTAAGATTGTGAGTAACATTATATATATCAATATAACATTTCCTTCTCCAGAACTTTCGTTATGTTTGGAAAATCTGTTTAGAATGTAACAGTAGTCTTCTTTTCTCCTAGGTGGCTGTACTTTTGATGATGGTCCAGGGGCCTGTGATTACCACCAGGATCTGTATGATGACTTTGAATGGGTGCATGTTAGTGCTCAAGAGCCTCATTATCTACCACCCGAGATGCCCCAAGGTGAGAGTCACTCTGTTTAGTCAGTGTTGGGGGAATAGTTTTGCAGTATCTATGATTTTCTTATTTAAAGTGTAACAACAATAATTTAATGGTTATAATAAGCTAAATTATTGTGCTACTGGATCACTTCTAAGAGCCTTATTCTTTGCCTTTCCCTTAATAACTTTCTGTAATTCTGTATTCCTTGTTGTCTTTGAAAAAAAAAAGATAAGTATTAGTGTTTTTTTCTATTTAATAAAAACCCAAGTGACAAACCAAAAATCAAAAAATAAAAGAAAAAACAGAATAAACAAAAAAAAATCCTTTCCAAAAAATTCTCAAATGTGGGATCAGCTCTTTTCGTAGTTATTCAATTAAATTGTATATGTTGGATCCAATCAGACTGAAGGGAAAGAATTTTATTACATTGTAAGGAGAGAGGTTGTGTCTTTCTCCCAGTGGTCATGAGCATGCCAGTGACTCTGAGGGGAGGCAGTGTGGAGACAAAAGTATCAAATGGAGATCTTTTATGTGGGAATTATAGAGAAATAGGGCCAGATCTGTTCTTTTGTTGTTGTTGTTGTTTTTTGATATGGAGTCTCACTCTGTCACCCAGGCTGGAATGCAGTGGCCTGATCTCTGCTCACTGCGATCTCTGCCTCCCAGGTTCAAGTGATTCCCCTGCCTTAGCCTCCTGAGTAGCTGGGACTACAGGCGTGCACTGCCACGCCCAGCTAATTTTTGTATTTTTAGTGGAGGCGGGGTTTCACTGTGTTGGTCAGGCTGGTCTCGAACTCCTGACCTCGTGATCCGCCCGCCTCGGCCTCCCAAACTGCTGGGATTACAAGCGTGAGCCACCGCGCCCAGCATCTTTTCGTTTTTTACCTTACTTTGTTATATCCTTTGATTTTGGGTTTTGGGAGATAATATAATTTATAATTGTTTAAAACAGTGTGCATTATGTTTCATCTTAGGAAAAACACATTAACATAGGATGTCAATATTTACATACCATTTCATACAATATTGGACTAATAGTTGTGCTTTCAATTCTGCATATTAATCTGGAGCAAATTCCAAGTTCTGTGCGTATATGCTTAGCAATAACATTAAATTGTGACATTAAAATGTAAACAGGAATTTAAAAATACAACATGAAAGAGAACAAACTCTTTTCCTTCCAATATTTAGAAAGAAACAAAAATAGTACATAATTATATATTATATATAGTTATGTATATATAATATATTATCATTATGCTATTATAATATATAATATAATTAATGTGCTGATTGCTTAGTACTAATAATTTAGGTTTCAAAGTATATTTAGTATTTTTATTATGATTAAAAATGGTTTAGAATTAATTTTTCTACAAAAAGAGTAAGTCCTTCTTGAGTGTGAATTTTAGATATGACAATTTTAGACATAGCCATTAGAAATGAAAATGTTAATTCTGCTTATTGAAGAGAGAAAATTCTATCAGCAGCATCCCTGAACTTGCTGATCAATGTGATTTAAAAAAAAAAGTGAAAACATCAACAATAAACAATTTATCACAAGCACACAAAGTAAATAAAACCTAAAAGTTACATTTCTAAATGTAATTTTTAGTTTGTAAATGAATATGGTAAATATTTCCTTGAAAAATTTTGTGTTGGTTCCCCCGTGATGTGTACTTTTATAATAGAATGAATTAAATTTGCTTTTTACTCTGAATTGTCACTCTCCGTGATTGAGTAGGAAATGGTTATTTTTGAGGCTGAACTGAGCCATAATTTCCTTTGCAGAGGGAAAACTGGAACTGTGTGGTTGACACTCTTTGTTTCTTATATTTGACCCCTACTTTGTCAGCAGACTCATTTAATTTTGTGCGTAGATTTGTATTTTTTCTTTCAAAGGTATGTAACCTTATTTTCCTGGTGCATTTTAATTAAACTACTGTAATTTTTCACCTGAATTTTCTCTGTGGTATATTTAGACTAAACTTTTCATATAAAATTAAAGGATGTGGGTGGGCTGGGATGCACACATTTTGAATGTTTATCATCATAGAATAATAAGAAAGATGTTGATTTATGGAAATGTTACCATTGCTAATTACCATTGATGGTGGGTAATGAATAGTTGAAGAATTACTGCTCAGATGACCTTGTTGGCTCACCTTTGATGAACAGCTTAATCGGTGGTTACAGTACAGGATGATATGCACAGAAAATGAAAGCATTTGAAATTCAGCCATATCTTCCAATTAATAGGACATTAAGTAATTAATCATGCAGAGGAGGGAAAAAGGTCACGGCCACTTTGCCGAATGAAACAGTGTTTAGTCTTCAGAGAGGTGAGAGAAAGCACTCATGTATGTTATTCTTTTAGTCATCTCTTTTTATAATAGATACTATTTTTTTCATTTTCCTTCTGATATTCCTTTAAAGTGCTGACTGAATATTCCTTGCTCATAAATTGGTGTAAAGGAGACATTTAGATTTTTCATGCTAAAATGTTATGATCTTTTTATTGTCACATAAATTAGCAAGCATGCTTATTTTCTTTATGTACTTTAAAAACACAAACAAAAACAAAACAAACAAAAAACCCCAAATGTTTGGGAACTCTATAAAAGCTGGCTCTCCAAACCTAACTTGTTATTGAACTGTGTGATACTTGGTGCTATTAACTGGCTTCTGTTTATTAACTTTTTGGACTGAAAGCCAAGAGTGAGAGAAAAAAGGATGAATAAATAGATTAGAATGAAAGAAGACTGAAGATAGATAGTAGAGAATAATAAAAAAAATTGTTTCTATTCATGAGGAGATACAGTACCATCAATCATTGCTTAAAATGTTCTGTAGCAGTTCCTACTTACTACTTACTACACAGTTCCACATACTAGTTTGGTCAGATTACAATGATGATGACTGAAAGGTCTGCCAAATAGAATAAAAAATAGCATGCAGAAGAATGAGTACTTCATAAGACAGTTCTAGTGTCCCCAAATCATATGAAATTATGAACACCTACTTAACTCAGTCATCAAAGAAATGCATATTTAAAACACAGTGAGAAACTACTGTACAATCAGTGGAAAAATGAAAATTTTAATTCCAAGTGTTGGTAAGAATGTAGAATAAGTAAAACCCTCTAATACTACTGTTGGAGCATAAATCTGTACAACCTTGTGACCAGCAAATCCATTCTTGGGTATAAGCCCAGCAGGACTGAGTATGCATGTTCACCAAAAGACATGTGCAAGAATGTTGATAGCATCAGCATTCATAATAGTTCCAAGCTAAAAACAACCCAAATGTCTGTCAGCAGTGCAATGTATAAATAAATGGTGGCATATTCATAAAGTGAAATATTGTACTGCAAATAAATGAAAGAACCATTGCTTTATACAATAACATGAATGAATTTCGCAAACACAATCTTAAGGGAGAGAAACCAGATGCAAGAGAGTATGTATTATATACATTTATATAAATTATGTAAGTTTCAGAAACAGGCAAAACTAATCAATGATATTAGAAATCAGCATATTATTTACTTGAAGGAGGGTTTGGGTAATGATGGTTAGTGCTTGTCAGGTGGCATGAAGGAGTCTTCCAGATGCTGGTGATGATATTCTATTTCTTAATCTGGATGGCGTTTTACAGTTTGAGGTGTGCTGAAATCTGTAAAAAGTCATTGAGCTGTGTGCAATGATGAGTTGTGTACTTTTCTTTATGTATCTGATATGTCAATGTAAATTGAAAAAAATAAAAACCAATGCACACAAGGCTGGGAAACTAAAATAATAAATAAAATGTCATGGATTAGAACAAAAGATATAAAATAGATATCCTCAAATGGGTCCAAACTTCTAGTTTTCTTACCATACTGGATTCTCTCCTCCCTACTAAATAAATACTGTGTTCGCTGATATCTTTGTGTGGGCCTTGTATTGTTCTTTTCCCTCTGCTGAAATATTTCTTTGTCTGCTTATCCATTCGTTAATCTCTTACCCATTTTTACTGTGTCTTCTCACGTTCTACCTGCTTTGAGAAGATTTTCCTGACTGGCTTGAAACTCTGTTTCTTCTATCCTCATATCAGAAGATGCGGCCCACTGTACTATGTACTACTTAAATTGTAGCTATTTTTATAGTATATTTCTTATATGTCCTTCTGTCCATTAGACTATAAGGTCCTTATGAACAGCCGGGCGTGGTGGCTCACGCCTGTAATCCCAGCACTTTGGAAGACCGAGGCGGGCGGATCACGAGGTTAGGAGTTCGAGACCAGCCTGAGCAACATGGTGAAACCCCGTCTCTACTAAAAATAGAAAAATTAGTCAGGCATGGTGGCAGCTGCCTGTAATCCCAGCTACTCAGGAGGCTGAGGAAGGAGAATTGCTTGAACTGGGAGGCGGAGGTTGCAGTGAGCCGAGATCAGGCCACTGCACTGCAGCCTGGGTAACAGAGTGAGACTCTGTCTTAAAAAAAAAAAAAAAAAAAAGTCCTTATGAACATAGACCATATTTTTTTGTGTTTTATTTCTCAAAAAAAATTATTTTTCTTAGACAAAAATGTCAACTTCTGTAATGTAAGTTTTAAAATATTTTTGTCAAGAATTAAACAAGATGTTTTTCCTCTTGTTAGAAAATTAATTGAATTCAAAAATACCCCATTTACCAAACATTATATTGAGTTGAGATTTTTATGTAATTAGACCCTTACATAATTATTAAGATTTGACCTTAGTCTTTATAAATATTACCTATCTATATTGGATACACTTAAATGTTGTTAATTCTATCAAAAAAGTGTTCTCTTTTCATATTTCTTTCTCTCTTTTTGTTTTTGACTTTTGCTTGTCAAATTCCGATCTTCTGTCCCTCAAAAGTCTATTGTATATATATTTTCAGAACCCATAGAGAATAAGAGCTGTTGCATAGAACTAGAAATCATTCTTTGATCTCAAAGACATGTGTGTTCTTGACATTGTTTGTCAATTTTTTTATGCTTATGACCTCATGAAATAAATTTATTTGACCATTTTACTATATGTTCTCTCCTAGATCTGAGAGTAGGGATTGTGACTGACATCTCAATACATTTATCTTTGACTGTAATTATAACTGCTTTTTATTTTTAACAGGTTTTTGCAAAATAGCTAATTGAATTTTAGTTTAGAGTCTCTAGAGAACTTATTTGATAGTATTTAAAATTATGACTGAATTGTATCCCACCTTCAGTCTAGTGTTTTCACTGATAATAATGAAAATAACTGTACAGAGTTCTTTATTTAAAATGCACACACTGTATATATAGTAAAAAATGAAAGCCCTTTGTTGTTAAATTACTCTGAAGATTGAAGTAAGGAACCACTCCTCCTCCCTTATAAAACTTAGTGAGGTCTGATTCAGTAGTTTAAGGCCATATGTCTCTAAGTGTTTTTCTGAGGAGCCACCTTGATGGAGCCAGGTGGTATACAGAAAGGGGTAGGGGTGAGAATGTAGGGGATTATAAAACAGATAATTCCAGGACCATTTTTCAATTATTTATTTGGAGAGATTTGGTGTGTTTTTTTATTCAGTGGGGAGCATGCATGGGTCACATGATTTTGTACCTGGCTTTCTTCTGATACTGTGATGAAGTGAAAATTAAATAAGACATGGGTGTCCATAATTTGATGCATACAATAAAAGTTATAGGTAACATGATTTCAGCTAAGTTTCCTAAGTAATGATATGAGTCTCTTAGTTTTATAAGAGAAGATTTAGTAATAATTTATTTAATTTAGTAATAATTTATTAAAATAATATTATATATGCCATGGAACACATTTTAATACATCTGAGAAAAAATTTCAAGGAAGTTATGTTGACTTAGGCTTTCTTTCTCTCTGGGAACAGTGATCAGTTACTAAAAGTAGTGGATCACTTTGACTAATATTTTCATCCCCCTATTATAGATGATTAATAAAAAAGCATAGTTTTTTACAAAGCCATAACTGTCAAAAATCTCACACAGCTGAATTAACAGAATTATTTGACAGTGTATCTTCCAGAGACAAAACATGGCAGAGATTGGTAGAATAAAGTTCTGTGCATGTAGTATTGGCAATGAATATTAGCTTGCAATATTATCGCTAGTTTTGTATTACGAGATTGAGAAAATCAGGCCAAAATGTTGGTTTACTTTCTTTTTGTCATCTACTTAGCATTGTCTGTTAACACAACCAAAGAGAGTGTGTGTGAACATGTGCAGTTGTCCTAAGGGGAACTGAGAGATTTGGTGGTAATGGGGAGAGGAAGGGCTTAACATGAGGCCATTAACGTAGATGGGAAAACCTCAAAAAGTACTGGATATAGGTGTTAGATTCTAAGGAGCGTGAAAACTTCAGATGTTTAAAGCTGGAAGGTTATGCGTCATTCAATGATTTTCAGATTTTTTTTTAAGTAATAGAATTCTTTTTTAAAAAAATAATATTTTCTATCACTTTAATATTTAAAATCAATGACAAGGAATGAATGGTCCTGGAACTTATCTGTTTTATAATCCCCTACATTCTCACCATCTACCCCTTTCTCTATACCACCCTGGCTCCATCAAGATGGCTTCTCTGAAAAACACGTAGAGACATATGGCTCCAAAGGGTAGTTTGAAAACAATGATGTTGCAGACTCAAGCACTTTTAGAAAAGCATCTCTGAGATGAAAGTACTTACTACTATTAGCTACCACTTACTGGTCACTTACTGAGTTTTACTATACCAGGGACATGACATGTATCTTCTAATCTTCACAAGAGCCTTATAAAATTGGTGATATTTCGGAGATAAGTGGAGTGAATATCTTAACAGCATATCTACCAGAGACAAAACATGGCAGAGAGTGATAGAATAATTGTCACCCAGGGACAGAATTGGAACTTAAATCTGTCTGTCTAATATAAAAGTTACTCTTGTTCCAGTACCACCGTGCTTCATCACTGCAGTTGAGTTGACAAATTTCCTTGACTTGGGCATGGGCATTTATTTAAATCCACTATATAATGAGCTATATAATTTATTTGATTTAATCCAGAATGATCTTCTACTACTTCATTTAAAATACTTCTTTCCACAATTTGAAAGCTTTAAATGACTGTTTCTTACCCTTTGTGGGAAATGGAATCTGAGACTCACTGTTGTTTGGAATTGCTGCCAAGCTTCAGGATTTTCTCTATGATATTCTCATCCCTTGGGGAGACGCTTTGCCCTTCCTTTGATTTATGTGTATGTTATTTTTAGTTATTTGATAAACACTTGCTGCGTGTCTGTTTAAGCAAACCTTTAGAAACACATATGTTATCTGCTGTCTCATTAGAGCATGTATGGTAAAAGAAAAAATCATGGACGAAAGGAATCAGACTAAAGTCTAGGGTTTGAAAATAATTTTAAGTCTTTGTTTGCAGTGAGGTATTTTAGGATGAGAATTATGGGCTTATTTCAATGTGCTCTTCCAAACCATGTTATCATCTGTCTATTGATGCTTTTGCCCTCTGCACAGAGAAGATAGTTTGCCACATTTGAGTTGCTTATTAAAAACAGTGGGAGTTGGAAGCAGTGCAAGGTGAGAGAGTGAAAGGCTGTAATGGACTACTTGAAGGGTAAGCCACTTAATGAAGGCTGGTTTTTAATGTAAGGACTGTTACCCTCGCAGACATAAATGCAACATGAAAAATGTCTAAATTACAGTGGACAGAAATGGCATGCTGAGACTGGAATTTTTTCCTGATATTTCAGGTACATAATGCATCTAAGTTAGATATGTCCTAATATATTTCAGGGGAAAAGAATAGCCTAGTATTAAAAAAAAGGAAATAAAAATGAATATAGGTGTCAGTGCTAGAGAACTTCCAACCTCCTAGATGAATTAAGATAGGAACACACAGCAATTTCAAAGACTATATAGTCACCTTTAACATATACCTTAAAATCAATACATAGTCCAAAGACTCAAAATTTCTTTTCCCTGGTAGGAGTGTGACCGAAAATACAGTTATGACCTTATACTTCTCCTCTCCAAAAATAAACTTGACTCAAGATAGGTAGGTACTATCTCAGTTTAAAAGCTTATTATCTTTCAAACACAAGAAGAATGCCAGGGAAATACATACACACACACACACACACACAACAAAAAAAACAAAAAAAAACAAAAAAAAACCGAGCAAACAAGAAAAGGTAGGTAACTAGGAATTATTAAAAATATATATGATATTAATTATCTCTTATAATTAATGTGAAAAATATGGAGTTATGATTATATATTAGATTATCATTACATATAAAAGATGCTTTAAAATCTTGGAAGAATGTTAGTTTTCCAACCTAGTTTCTGCCAAGAGTGGTATGTTGTAAAGACCTCTACTCCCTCACCAAAGAGGAAATTATTGGCTGAGATGTATTTTTCAATGAAAAGTGAACATTTTCTAAATTTAGAGCATATGACAACTTAGAAATGCTCACAGCATCATGAAGTCTCCACCTAGCCATGCTGATTAAAAAGACGCTGGCTTGCTTTTTCTAGGTTTATGAGAATAAAATTAAATAGGACAGTTTTACAAACTTCATCAAGCTGGTTATGTATTTCTGTATGTTCCTCCCACCTCAGTTATTTAAGAGTTGGAGATTAAATAGGAAAGTAGGGTGGCAATTTTGACTATTCAAAAGTTATGTTTTGAGTGTGTAATTTTTATCCATGTTAGGTCAGACTTACTGGATACTTAAAAAATAATTCTCTGACTCCTTCTGTCTGATCCCAAGCATTTAAAATATGTCATTTCACTTAATTCTCCCAAAATGCCTTTGGAATATGTATTTACATCATTCTGTAGGTGAAGGAACTGAAGTCAGGTGAACCTAAGTAAATTATCAAAGGTTTTATGTCTTGGGAAAGGCAAGGCTAGGAATCCAGGTATATAGAGATATAGGATAAGGATTTAACCTTTGAACTTTATAAAACAAGTATATGTAGAGATCTTTCTTTAGAGACTGCAGCAAAAAGCTTCAGGGCTGACTTGGAGGTGTGGCAGAAGTTGTATCTCTTATGCCTTTTCCAGTGCAAGTAATGGGAAGCACAACTACAAATGTGTTTAAACCATAAGGAAGGCTACTTTCGCATAACAAAAGGTCCAGAGTTGGCTCATTCAGTGGCTCAGTGATTTCATCAATAATTCAGATTTTTTCTTATGTCTTTGCCTCTCCATTCAGTAGGTCATCTTTTTACCTCAGGCTATCTCTCTTTAAAGGTCTAAAATCTATGGCTATTCCAGGTACAAAATTCAGACACAACAGTATCCTGAAGAAAAAGAGGTTCTTAGTTGTCTCCTCCTTATGTCTTATAAGTATCAATAAATAAACACAAAAAACTTTCCTGGGATACTCTTTGATATAGATATGTTAGCATAGATCTGTAAGTAGAGTTTCAAAGCTGTGGGATTTAGAAGAATGCACAAATAAAGCATTTATTAAAACAGCATTGTATTCTCTAATGCAAGCTTGTCTAACCTGTGGGCCACATGCTGCCCAGGATAGCTTTGCATATGGCCCAACACAAATTTGTAAACTTTCTTCAAAGATTATGAGATTTTTTGCTTTTTTTTTTTTGTAAGCTCATCAGCTGTCGTTAGTGTTAGTGTATTCTTCTTCTTCCAGGGTGGCCCAGGCAAGCCAAAAGATTGGATGCCCCTGCTCTAATGCGTTATTCAGCCTAGCATCAGGTTTCCCTTAATTTCATGCATTTACTGCATATGTTACATATGCAGTATCTTCCTACCCCTAGTAAGCTTACCTTATCTTTCTAACCTGCCATTGTTACTCACTAGAATTTTTCATTGTCTCTTGTTTTCCTTATGATTTTTATGATGTGGAATAAATAAGGGAACATACTTTATTTAAAAAAACCTCCAAAACGAAGAAAGAGTCAAGTGTTATACACTGTGTATGTGAGTGTATGCTAAAGATAGATTAATTTATTATTAGGGGAACCAGCAGGATAGTAAGACTGGTTCAAAAGATTATAGGAATAAGGGAAACATTTATAATCAGTGAAAGAAAGAATGGTGGAATAAGATTCCTAAATTTTATACTAAATGTCCAATAAGACAATCAAAGTGAAACCATGAGGCTATCTTTACTAACAGACAAATCATTTTCCTCTGTACTAGACAAAATTTGTTTGCATTATCATAATATGAGTATCATTTGTGTTGCTATAAATGTTCTACAAGTTAAGTCTTTTCTCACAGAGTTGTAAAATATCTTAATCAGTGGTAATTAGTGACTCAGATGAAGCGACATACTTTTAAATAATTAGCGAATCCTTTGGTGAAGGATATACAGTCATTCTTGTGCTGGGTCCCAAGTTTTGAACATTTTTTCTTAAAACTTCCCCCTTAGGATCGTAAATATTATCCAAGGATGATTCTTGTTTAAAACAACAAAAAAGTGGTATCCTTTTGTTTTTGTCTGATTTATTTATTTATTTATTTAGACAGAGTCTCGCTGTGTCACCCAGGCTGGAGTGCAGTGGTGCGATCTCGGCTCACTGCAACCTTCGCCTCCTGGGTTCAACCGATTCTCCTGCCTCAGCCACCTGAGTAGCTGGGATTACAGGCATGCACCACCATGCCCAGCTAATTTTTGTATTTTTAGTAGAGATGGAGTTTCACCATGTTGGCCAGGCTGGTCTCAAACTCCTGATCTTATGTGATCTGCCTGCCTTGGCCTCCCAAAGTGCTGGGATTACAGGCATGAGCCACTGCACCCAGCCCGTTTCCTTTAGATAGGTGCAGCAAGAAGTGTTTATTGACATGAGCCTTGTAGTAGGAGTGAAATATCCAGTGTCACGCAATATTAAACAATTAGTAAGAGTGGAAAATTAACATCTATTTGAAGATTTCATTAGAAATCTAGAATTGTGTTTTCAGTAGCCTTTATTACTTCAGAGTATTTTAAAAAACAAAACTTGGTTTCTTCTTCTTTTCAGAAGCTTAGGAACCAACTCAAAATAACCATCTCCATTAGGAGTATTTCACTTGAAGTTCTTATAAATGTGGGTGAATTCCTTCCTCTTTTATGTCACCCAAATGAGCTGAGCTTCCTTGCTTGCCAGGGATTAACTATTTCCTCTCAGGCCGGGACCCTATAAACTCAGACTAGGTAACAGACCCTGTTACTGGGAGGGCTCTATAGGTATCGATTGTTTCCACATATGAAATACACAGCCTTTGTCTCTTTGGTGAGCTTATCATATGTGTTTTAGTAAAAAAGTTCTTCTTAATCAAACAATTTGTACACTTGATTTGTCAAACTATATTCTGGTTAAAGAAAAGGCCGATTCTTAGTTATTTATCCAGTTATCTGCCATTGAAAGTAAAGAAAAGTAGAAAAAAAATCTATTACTGAATATCTTAGATGTCAGAAGCACATATCAATTAAAGAACCTTTATTAAGTCAAGGATTAAAATTAAATCAAGATAAATAAAAAGCTTTATTATTATATATACCAATCAAAAAAACAGAACATTAAAAGTATACTGAAAATCTCCCAAACAAATAATGCCAAATTGATTCACTGCATGAGTTCCTTTAAGTTATATTTAACTAATTATTTATCTCTTGAATTTGGGGATTATAGTTTATTTCATGAAGTCATCAATCCTAGAAACTCTGGCTTAGTAACCTGGTATAGTCTGGCTGATGTCTAGGTGATATCAGCTCTGAAGCTTGTACCCTTGAGGCTGGTCCTTGAAGACATAACAGTTAGATGTACCTGATCTTTGACTTTCTATTGAGGCCAGTATTTGAAGACTTAATCTGTGGAGCCTATAGTTAATAGCAGAGCCTTCAGGCAAGCATGGGAGGAATGCAGAAACCACCTGCTGAATGACTGAATGCTTGTGATTAATTTATTATAGTAATCAACCGTATCACACTAGAAAAGAGAAAAATTCTCCATCAGGGTATAAGACTTACTATTTAATAAGTATTTGTTAACAGCTCCTCTGAAAGTAAGAATATATGGACATGACTGTATTAACAGCTTGCCATGTTCTTCCCATAAATTGAATTATTTTGGACACATTTTATATTACCTGAAAAAAATTAATGCACAGAAAGTTGAACTAATCTGATTTGAAGCTCTTTTTCATGCAAGCCTTATAATGGTGTTGAGCTAATTAAAAAATATGGAACATACCAAACAAATTTAATTATTTTTATTGTTCCTAATCTTACAAGGCAAGGAAGTGAATCCCTGCGGTTGTCCAAAGACCTATAGGAAATCACAAAGGCAGATTAGAAGAAAAGACCTCTTGAAATTTTTATTTTTTCTGAATTTGTTGTTTTATCATGCAAGGAAGAATCAGAAGTGTTATCACAGGAGATTGGTCACTTGATTAAGACAGGTGCCTAAAAATAAGGAATAATACCAGTATTTTAAAATTATTAATATTAATATTTATAATATTAATTATATTAATATAGTAATTTTGATATTTAAAAATAAAATAGAAGGTAACACAATGATAAGGAAACTCAGCTCTTCCAAGAAATAAAGTTGTATTTGTTTTTAATCATCAAAACCATAATAAAATAAACTTAATATGTATAATACTATCCTGGAGAGATACCCAATCATTCCTCAGATTAAACAGAAATTAGGAATAATTTTTGTAACCTCTTTTTAAGAGGAGACTGAAAATACTAAGATCAATTTGTTATTTTAACAGAGATAAAACCTAATTCCAGTCTGGCATTAATATAATATTTGACAGCAAAAGCTTTAAAAAAAAAATAAAAATTTTTTCTGGTCACCAAATAATTTATTTCACGATTGCCTTGTATTCAATGTATTTCTTTAAATTCATTATGTTCTGCACACATTCCATTTGTAGTTACTCTAAACTTTTCAAAATATCTGTACTATTCTGATGTTTTACTAACTGTTGTATTTGAATGTAACTCACAACAAACTCTTTCCACTGGTGGTTTTATTTACATCAAGCTTGTCCAACCCATGGCCCACCAGCCACATGTGGCCTAGGATAGCTTTGAATGTGGCCTAACACCAGTATGGCCTAGGGAAGCCAAAAGATTGGACACCCCTGATTTACATATTATATTGAGTTTTTGAGTCATAAGTAAAAATACTTTCTCAGGAAAAAAAAAATAGAAATATTGTCCAAAAATCTTTGTATTGCGAGATATCTCTATTAAGTTATATGTTGAGAAATATCTCCATTAAATTTGGTTTTTAAACCAAGAAAAGTTTTCTATTGATAAAAATATGGACAAGGCCAACATTTTGTGGACTATCGTGCGTGTGGAACATATCTATGAGAAGTCCCCCTTCAACCAGTTGTCAAAGTGAGTCTTGAATGAGAAGGAATATTTATTAGGAAGGGAAAAGTTAATTTGAAATTGTATTTTTGATGTAATTGTTGGTAATGAGCAAGCCTAAAAGGATAGGAATTTATTTCCTAAAGTAGCAGCTAAAGTAACAAAAAAATTATCCTTCTCTGAAAAGTTTAAGAAATAAATTCAATAATAGCTGTATAAAGCATTTGGGTATTTAATTTTTCTCATGTTTCTAGTATATTGCTTTACTTTATATGGGACTAAGAAATAATTTAACTTAATGTTTTATAGAAAATAAAAATGTGTTTAAACTGTCAAAATATTTTTTCTGAATGTAATCTACTAATGATTTTGACTTATTACTTTTGTGGCTATAATGATAGTTAAAACAATGTTAAAGATATGCTATTGTTCATAAAACCACACTGTTCTTGACAATAGAATTAAGAAATTGATACTTAAGAATAAGGTGAAACAATACCACCGTTCAGTGTTGTGCAGTTTAGCACTGTGTTTGGCACATAGACCTATGATAAATAACTGTTTTATGAATAGCTCAAAAGCTTAAAAATAGAAACATGATTTTCTCAACTTTCTTCTGGAACACATAAGTATGTTGGAACTCAAATTATTTTTGAATGAATACATAAATGGAATGATAAATTTACACAAAGGAAAAAGGGGAATATTTTAGAAAATGATTTGAATTTAACTGTTGTTAATGCACTATACTATTGCAAAATGGCCTTTTGAAGCTTTTTAACGTAGATGAATGAATAGGATGGATCTGGTCAAGAGGATTGTCTGAGTGGGTTTAATTCCAGCCCCGTATAACACTATAATAATATTCTACTGATGGTGTTTATGTTTTTTTTTCTGCATGTTACATGAAATCTTTGGAAGTTTAGATCTTTGCCCCAGTATTGGAAGATTATATTTTTCATGTTACGTCTTATAGTTAAACTTTGCTATTAAGGATGCTATTGTGACAAGAACATGTTGCTTTATGTAATAAGCACTGATTTCGATTTTTTAAACTGGATTATTCAGGTATTTTCATTGCCACTGGAACCAAGAAACAGACTCTTCTTAGCTTAGCAGTGGTGACTATTTCTTCTGTTCTCTTTGACTCAAAATTGAAGTCAATGAAGAAAAGCCAGTGGGAAGAGCTGATTGTTGCCATATGTCACATTCCTTATGATAAAGTCTAAGTTTCTCCCTAGTAATAAAATTTATATAAGCCCTTTAAAAAATAGGATGACATTTATGTTAGTTTCTTATTTTCGCAGGCTGAGCAGTTCTTTTACTGAACCAGTAGCAGTGGTACAAAAGTTGTTTTGAAATTTCAAATGCTCTACATCTATGTTTAGGAAGTGGACACCTATAGGTCCCAAGAAATCATTAGAGTGGAAGAAATAAAGAGAAATGGATGGTCAATAAAAACAATTTATAATTTTTGGCTGGGTGTGGTGGCTAACACCTGTAATTCCAGCACTTTGGGAGGCTGAGGCTGGAGGATCACTTGAGGCTAGGAGTTCGAGACCAGCCTGGCCAACATAGTAAAACCCCGTCTCTACTAAAAATACAAACAAAACCAAAAACAACAAACAAACAAACAAAAAATTAGCCAGGCATGGTGGTGCGTGCCTGTAATCCCAGCTACTTGGGAGGCTGAGGCAGGAGTATCTCTTGAACCCGGGAGGCAGAGATTGCAGTTAGCCGAGATCACACCACTGCACTCCAGCCTGGGTGACAGAGTGAGACTCTATTAAAAAAAAAAAAAAAAAGAATTTTCATATAGGTTTTCTTTATGCTGCTTTTAAATATTTATTGTCCATTTTTAAATGGACACATGATTACATATAGTTGAAAAGATAGTATTCTATAATAGAAGTCATAGTTCTTTGTGCTCAATTTTCCTAGTATTTTTACACACAGAATCTCCAAACTCAGCATATCATATAAACCATTTTGGTACTAGCACCATTATAATACTTTCAACATTATTGAAATTGATTTTTTTCCTTTTTTTTTTTTTTTTTTTTTGAGATAGGGTATTGCTCTGTTGCCCAGGCTTGAGTGCAGTGTCACAGTCATGGCAGTCCTCCCACCTCAGCCTTCCTAGCAAGTGGGACTACAGGTGTGTGCCACCACACCTGGCTAATTCTTGTATTTTTTTGTAGAGATGGGGTTTTGCCATGTTGCCCAAGCTGGTCTCAAACTCCTGGGCTCAAGTGATCCACCTCAGCCTTCCAAAGTTCTGGGATTACAGGCATGAGCCACCATGCCTGGCCTGAAATTAATTTCTGTTAAATCTGAAAGAGACTCTATAGATTATCTCTAGTCTAAACTTCCGTTTTACAAATAAAGAATAGTGTAGAAATAGGCAAACTGACACAGGAACCTGAGTAACCTGAATTTAAATCTAGGTTTTATTGCTTGAGATTTGGTCATGACATACAACCTTTCTTAGCTTCCATTTTCCCATCAGTAAATTAGGAATAATAACATTTCTCTCTCTCTCTGTAAATGTTGTTGTACCAGTGAAATGAAATACAGAGTGCAGTATCTGGTAGTATCTGGGATGTAGCTGATGGTGAATGAATAATATTTGCCTCCTTCCCTCTGGCCCAAGGTGACACGGCCGGTTAGTAATCTCATTAATCTATAAGAAATTGGTTTGAATTTCTTTCACTTACTTTTTTTTTAAAAGCAAGGAATAAATTGCACTTTCTCATCACAATATTTCAGTAGCTCATTAGGAATTATTTTATATCCAATTCTGAAAATCACCTTTGTTATATAATTGCTCACTGAGTACAGTTGCTTTGCACTCTGACGCATAATGATATCTAGAAATGATTTTTATAACAAAGATAGAATAATGAGGTATGGAAATAGTTTGGGAAAAGGTTTATTATTTCTCAAGTCTTAAGACTGTTTTTATGTAGTTATTCCATGTGGGTTATTGAATTGCTTTGTGGTCATTCTAATTAAAAAATTTTCTAATGAAATACACCCTTTTACTTTGAATTTTACTTAATGTTGACAGCAGCTGCAGTCTATAATGTCATAAGGCCAAGGAAGAAGTTATGCAACAACATTTAAAGCTGAGACACTGGAAAAATTGTTAAAAGTATCTCACACTGCAAAAACACAAGCAAGCACCAGCAAATATCTAGATTTGAAAAAAAATGGGTTTAAAACTGTCTGATAGAGTTTATTGTCATATATTTAAAAATCTGGATATTCTGTTGCACAAACAGATTTTGGTTTTATGGCTTACAGTAGAACTTGTAAGATACTTACTTGGATTCTACATATTTGAGTAATTTTTTAACCTGTTTTCAGATGTTTGGGCTGTGCCCAGATTGTTAGCTACGAATTCTTGTTCTAAAATGAGAAATCTGATAGGTTGGCTGTCTTACCTGTGCCTTGGTTACGTCTGTTGAAGAATGAGAGAAGGATAAATTCTCTCTGCTCTTTGTAGGTCCCTTTTACATACTATGATAATTAATGTATTTTCAGTTACTTTGTATGTCAAATGCAGATTCCTTTAAACCTGCAGCTCCATGGATGTGTTTACGGGGTTTATAAACCCTTTAAAAGTGTAATATTGCATACACACACACACACACACACACGTGTGTGTGTGTGTATGTCTGTGTGTAGGAAGGTGTGTGATTTTCCAAGAATGTATTAGACACAGAATATCAGAATAATCACGCAGAATAGTAGCAGAATTCTATAGAGTACAACATTGAACAGGTCTCTAAGGCACAGCCCTTGGGGAAGGTTGCGTTTATAAGGGGAAACAAAACTCCCACTTTGCTCATCTCCAAGTCTGGTATCTTGTGCTGATGCAATCAAAGTTGATACTTTTTTCTACAGAGTCTCCTTTGCACCCTTTTAATTTTATTTTCATCCTTTCAAGGAGAGTTAGCTATATCCAGAATTTAAAGGATGTAAAATTCTTTATTCTCAAAGAATTATTGTGTGAATTTTTTTCTCTCCTGAGGCTAATATCTGTAGGTTTTTTCTGTTATTGATGAACACATCTTTTTTATGTCCCTTTTGCTATACTATTGAGATGAAAGCCCGTTTGCTAGGGTTTACATCCAGGCTGAGCAGGGTTTGGAAAATCCCCTTCATCCTTTTTCTTCCATATACTTAACCTATTGTCCATGGGAATGCTTAGATAAATTACTTTGAGCATTGTGTTTTTCATTTCTTGCAACTTAATGTTGATTATTACAATTAAAGACATAAGTAAAAACAAACCAACAAGCACACAAATATTATTAAACAACAAAATATTAGATAGCAAATATTATGAAATAACAAAATAAACAGACAGTTTGCCATCCATTCCTAAAGTGAATGCCCTGGAAGGTCAAGGCTTTTTCCCTCTGTCTAGCCAACTAGTGTTAGAAAGGAACATGTGACTTACCAAATGTTTCATAAGAGTCTGAGAATATCTACAGCTGTAAAGGATTTGCTGTTTTTGGAAATATAAAAAATTGTTCCTTTTCTTCAATACCTTATGAAGTAAAAGAAAGCAACTGAGGCATTTCTGCCAAAGAACTTCTTATCTTGGAAGACTGAGGCTCTGGACTCTAGCACTTACACCACATGACATGGACAGATTGTCCTCTCTTTCTTAAAGGTAAAATCAAGACTTTCCTATTTGTCCTTCTTTTCCCAGAAAGTAGTTGTAAGAACCAAAATAATACATGATTGTGAACATACTTTGAAAACAGTTGAAGTATGTTTTTATAATCTCACGAAGTAACAAGTGTATTGTGTTGGTAATGTAAATGGATTGATACTTGGATCTTTAATTATTCCATGTCATTTTACTAGTCAATATCTCAAAGAATGAGACTCAATCACATGGTTCATGGCAGTGCATCATATAGCATTTATTCGATTCATGGTATTTTATCCCATGACTCTAGGTAGTAATGGCAGAGTACAGAGATAGAGAGAGTAGAAAGGAAGAACCAGTAAACTGGAGTATGTTCAAATAAAGTAGCTGAACTTGGAGTCACCAGTTTCCAAAAAGAACAGGGAGTAGAACATTTAGTCAGAAACTAGACAGACTAGTAGAAAGATATCAGGAAGATGAGGCAAGTGGCAAATAATCAGGTACTATATTATATTCTTTCTTTCTTAATAGTGCCTTGAATAGTACTTTACTGTGATAGACATTCAATAATTAAAATAGCTTCTTAAAGTTTAATCTCTAAGGTCATTTTAACAATAGCAAGTAACTCATTACTTTCCTCTGTTATTTTCAATCTTACTTGAACTTTGCATAGGGTAAGAATTATATTGGAGTGGAGATAAAACTAGAAGATATTTATGCATAGGTGAAAACAGCATTTATAAGAAGAAAATAGATGAAAGCAGGAAGTGACAAAATTCTGCTCTGTAAAATTTCTCCAAAAGTGAGATACGTATATATTTTCAGTTATATGGCATATTTCACATAGTATTCTTTGGACTTCTTTGAACGATTATGCATATACATTAGCAGTAATTATTTTAGAATCTAATTTTTATAGTCAGATTCCTGAAAGGTATTTTTCTCAAGACTTTTCTTTATTTGTATTTTCAGTGGAAATTTTTTTCATGCTTATTTTCTTATTTTAACATTTGTACATGTATATGAATGAAACAAAAATGGTTAGAAAACATGGAAATTATACATAAGTCTCATAACCAAGAGAAAATCACCATCAATCTTTTGATGTCATTTTTTGTTACCTCTAAGTCTATGTTTGTGTGCATTGTTGTTTGTATGTACATCTCTGTGTGTGTCTGTGTATATTTACTTATGAAATCATGACCAGATAGCATGTACATTTTTTGTTTTGCTTTCAAAATTAATGCTGCATCAAACATCCGAAAATTCTGTTATTTATAATTGTTATCTTTGGGAAGATTGGTTCAATAGGAACTACTCAGTTTTGTCCAGAAGCAAGGCCTAACTTATGTTTTACTTAATTATATTTGTTTTCTAGTTCATAAATGTAATAATTTCTTAATTACATATAGAGATGAAAGTAACTTATGGTTTATATTTATTGAAATATAACTTTCACCTTAATATTTGTGGTTAAATTCAATCTATTTTTGTGAAGATTTGTGAAACACAGTCTAAAAAGCAAACCATGATCACAGATTACTTCTGAAATATAATTCTTGACTATATTGGAGTTAAGCAGAGCAAAGAAACATGTGCTCTTTTTCAACAGTAAGAAAGAAAGAATTCTAATGTGTTTAAAATTCAGCCTAATTTATATGCTTGTAACAGTTTGGAAGTTGATTAAAGTCTGTAGAGTAAGTGAAAATTACATGTAGTTCTCATTTTAGTTGACCTTCCATGTTAATTAGGACATTTTTTTTTTCCATTTATTTTGTAGTTAAGAACATTTTCTTTATCTAGTAAACTTTGATTCTGGGTTTTTTTTCTTTTTTTTTTGTTGGTTGCTTCTTGCTTTAATGAAGTTGATCACTTTCATATCCCTTTTAACTTTTCTCAAGATGCTGAATATGATTTTGAAATACAAATCAAAGTACTATGATGAAGAAAATTTAGGCAGTTCCAGTTGTCTATTACTTACAAGTCAGTCATATATTCATTTAACAAATATATATTTAATGGTACATGATATGGTTTGGCTCTGTGTCCCCACCAAAATCTCATCTTGTAGCTCCCATAATTTTCATGTGTTGTGGGAGGGGCCTGGTGGGAGATGACTGAATCAAGGGAGTAGGTCTTTCCCATGCTATTCTCGTGTTAGTGAATGGGTCTTACGAGATCTGATGGTTTTAAAAAAGAGAGAGTTTCCCTGCATAAGTTCTCTTTGCCTGCTGCCATCCATGTAAGATGTGATTTGCTCCTCCTTGCCTTCCACCATGATTGTGAGGCCTCCCCAGCTACATGGAACTGTAAGTCCATTAAACCCTTTTTCCTGCATAAATTACCCAACGTCAGGTACGTTACATCTTTATCAGCAGTGTGAAAATGGACTAATACAGTAAATTGGTACCAGGAGTGAGGTGCTGTGAAAAGATACCCAAAAATATGGAAATGATTTGGAACTGGGTAACAGGCAGAGGTTAGAACAGTTTAGAGGGATCAGAAGAAGACAGGAAAATATGGGAAAGTGTGGAACTCCCTAGAGACCTGTTGACTTGGGCTTTGACATTTGGCTTTGACCAAAATGCTGATAATGATATCGACAATGAAATCCAGACTGAAGTGGTCTCAGATGGAGATGAGGAACTTGTTGGGAACCGGAGCAAAGGTGACTCTTGTTACGTATTAGCAAAAGATTGGTGGCATTATGCCCCTGCCCTAGAGATTTGTGGAAGTTTGAACTTGAGAGAGGTGATTTAGGTTATCTGGTGAAAGAAATTTCTGAGCAGCAAAGCATTCAAGAGTGACTTGGGTGCTGTTAAAGGTGTTCAGTTTTAAAAGGGAAACATAGCATAAAAGTCTGGAAAATTTGCAGCCTGACAATGTGATAGAAAAGAAAATCTCATTTTCTGAGTAGAAATTCAAGCCTGCTGCAGAAATTTGCATAAGTAATGAGGAGCCGAATGTTAATCACCAAGACAATGGGGAAAATGTCTCAGGATATGTTAGATGTCTTCACAACAGCCCCTCCCATCACAGGCTCAGAGGGCTAGGAGAAAAAGATGGTTTTGTGAGTCGGACCCAAGGCTTCCCTGCTCTGTGCAGCCTAGGGACCTGGTACCCTGTGTTTCAGTCATGCCAGCCATGGCTGAAAGGTAGCTCTGGCTGTTGCCTTACAGGGTGGAAACCCCAAACCTTGGCATCTTCCACATGGTGTTGAGCCTGCAGGTACATGAAAGTCAAGAGTTAAAGTTTGGGAACCTCCAGTTAGATTTCAGAGGCTGTATGGAAATGCCTGGATATCCAGGAAGAAGTTTGCTGAAGGGGTGGGGCCCTCATGGAGAACTTCTGCTAGGGAAGTGTGGAAGGGAAATGTGGGGTTGATGCCCCCACAATGAGTACCTTACTGGGGCACCACCTAGTGGAGCAGTGAGAAGAGGGCCACTGTCCTTCAGACACCAGAATAGTAGATCCACTGACAGCTTGCATTGTGTGCCTGGAAAAGCCACAGACACTCAATGCCAACCCATGAAAGCAGACAGGAGAGGGGCTATAGCATGTAAAGCCACAGAGGTGGAACTGCCCAAGACCATGGGAACCCATCTCTTGCATCAACATGAACTGGATGTGAGACATGGATTCAAAGGAGCTCATTTTGGAATTTAAGATTTGACTGCCCTGCTGGATTTTGGACTTTCATGGGTCCTGTAGTCCCTTTGTTTTGGCCAATTTCTCCTATTTGGAAGGGCTGTATTTACCCAATGCCTGTACTCCCATTGTATCTGGAAAGTAACTAACTTGCTTTTGATTTTACAGGCTCACAGATGGAAGGAACTTTCCTTGTCTCAGATGAGACTTTGGACTGTGGACTTTTGAGTTAATGCTGAAATGAGCTGAGACTTTGGGGGACTATTTGGGAAGCATGGTTGGCTTGGAATATGAAGTTATGAGATTTCGGAGGGGCCGGGGATGGAATGTTATGATCTGGCTGTGTCCCCACCAAAATCTCATCTTGTAGCTCCCATAATTCCCATGTGTTGTGGGAGGGACCCAGTGGGAGATGATTGAATCATAGGGCAGGTCTTTCCCATGCTATTCTCGTGATAATGAATGGGTCTCATGAGATCTGATGTTTTTTTTTTTAAAAAGGTTGTTTCCCTGCACAAGCTCTCTTTGCCTGCTGCCATCCATGTAAGACATAACTTGCTCCTCCTTGCCTTCTGCCATTATTATGAGGCCTCCCTAGCCACGTGGAACTGTATGTCCATTGAACCCCTTTTCCTGCATAATTTACCCAGCCTCAGGTATGTCTTTATCAGCAGCATGAAAACAAACTTATACAGTTTGTGTGCCAGGTATTCTTCCAGGCACTTGGGCTAAATCCGTGAACAAAATAGACAAAATTCTTTGCCCCAGAGAAGCTTATACCTTGATGGGGAAAAGGATAATAATAATAATAATAATAATAATAATAATAATAATAATAATAATGCAGTGTTTCTAAGTACCATGGAGAAAATTAAAGACCTAAAAGATGTGGAGGAGTATCCATGCAGTTATCTAGGGGAAAAGCATTCCAGGCATAGGGATCAGCAAGTGGAAAGTCCTTGAACTAGGAGCATGCCTGGCATTTGAGGAAGAATAAGATGACCAATTTGGTTTAAAGAAAAGAGTGGAAGGCATTGTTATAGGAGATAAAGTCAGAGTAGTAATAGGGGACTGATTGTATATGGCTATTATCAGTACTTCACAAAGTTCTAAATGGAGTGACATGATTTTATCTTGACAGGGTCATACTGAGTGCGGGATGTGGAGAGTAGACATTGGGATGGGACAAGGGTGGAATCAGGGAAACTAGCTATTAGGCAGTTGTGATAATCCAAGTCAGAGAAGATTATAACTTGGGGCCAGGATATAATCAGAGATGGTTATTAAATATTAGGGTAAATTGAATTTGCTGACGGATTGGATTTCTGGTGTGAGAGAAAGATAGGAGTCATGGATGAGTGAATATTGTTTTAGCCTGAGCACTGGGAAGGACACAATAGTCATGAGCTGAGATGGGGATGAATGTGAGAGGGGCAGATGTTTGGGAAGAATGGGAGTTAGGTTTTAGAGATGTTAAGTTTGAAATACTTAATCGATATGCATGTCTGATTATCAGGGGAGAGGACTATGCTGGGGATACACACTTTGGAGTCTTTATTGTATAGATGGTCTTTGAAACCATGAGACTGGATGAAATCACAATGGTATAGGTACGAATAGAGAGCAGAAGAGTTGCAAGGACCGACACATGCATTACTCCAGTGTTTAGAGTTCAAAGATTTAGAGAAATGTACAAAGGAAACTAAGCAGTAGTGGACTGTGCCATCAGAGGAATATGCACTATATTGAGAAATATATCAATAAATTCTGAGAATGATTCAGGTGAACTTAGGGTAGAATGATTAAACGTCTGTTTACCTTTCTGTCTTTATCCATGAAAGAAGGAAAATAAATAACAAACAAGGTGTGAGATTAATATTAAAATGTGTACTGGAAAGGTACTGGAAAATCAGAGGATGGGGGCTACATCTGTATTTCTGAAGCCTTTTTACCCTTTCTTGTTTTATGTAGTAAGAAATGGAATACAATTAATTGTAACATAAGATAAAATATAATCAAATATTAATAGAAACAATTTTGTTGCTCAAGAGAATGATAACTACTGCTAGTACTGAGACTAAAGGGTATTCATGGGCAGGCAAAGATTTGTGTCATAAACAGAAATTTGGAGTGATCACTACCACAATGGTGAATGAAAGATGGAGAAGCCTGCATTCTAGACCACTGTGCATAGGTGCATATTGATCGCATAGTTACCTTTAGCACTTTGTAATGTTATCTGTTAGTATTAGCATAATGAAAAATCAGAATACTAGGCCTAGAAGAAAAGATAATTTCAAGCAACATCGAGGCAATGTTGTAAGACAGTTATGAAACACTGGTTCTCGAAGCTGGCTGCATTTTAGAAAAACCAGACATTCTTTATAAAGGATTAATGCCACACCCCCAGAAACTTCTGTATATTTGGTTTGAGTTAGGACTAGTATTTAAAGTCCCATAGGTGATTTTAATATACAACTAATGATAAACATCAATGTAATGGAAGCCAAGGCATTGTGTGTGAGGATGTGCGTGTTTTGTGTCTACCATTTGTAGCACTTTGTGTTGCAATAGGTTATCCTGATTTTGTTTGTAGATTATTGCATATGCATCTGTGCCTAATTGATATCTGTGTGCTGCACATCAAAATGTGAACTAACGCAGCTTTGCAAAGAGTCAAGTCCAAGGACTAAGCCTTGCAACTTTATTTAAATAGTATATAGAAAAATTCTAAAAAGAATATGTGACCACTAGGAATAATTCTAATTGGTTGGTTAGCAGTTTTAGCACAATGTCTTTGATAGGCCCTTACATTTGCCACATAGACTTTGTGCTTTTACTGGGAAATGCTAACTAAAAAAATACATTGGAATGTTTCCAGTCCTAGGTCACCATTTTTTTTTTTTTTTAAAATTACCTCCCTCATTAGTTCCCAGCATTACAGTGTATGGTACATTCACATATACACACACATACTCATGTATATCAGAGTACTCAGTTCTGTTCATTTCCTCATTCCATTTTTCTTTTCAAAATTTGGCAGGCTATAGTGAAAAAACTCAGGACACTGACTTACCAGAAATGTGTTTGTGATGTGCTGAAAAGTTAGACACTTTTCTGAGAGCCAGGTAGGGGTCTTCTCCATGTACTATGGAGTAGCCATTTATACCAGTCATTCATGCCTGTCAGAGTATCATGTGTGGGCACTTAAAATACAACATAATGAAAATCAACTCTCCTTATTATCATTATCTGTCCTCAGTAACCTAAAATCAAGTATTAATAGGAAAGACCAACTACAGGTATAGACCTTATTTACCCTTAGGTTTCTGGCCTGCTTTTCAACTCTTTGGAAATTCTCTTTGAGGATTAAATGAACAATGTATACAATGTGCCTAATGTACCTCTGTCACTTTATCTTTGGTTTTCCTGATACATTGAATGTTGGAATAAACTGAATCCTGATTTTTGACTTGATTCTTTTGTTCCTGAGTGTTCTTGTGGTGAACATGATTTTAATTACCACACCCAAAGCGTTAAAAAAATCATTTCCTTTCTACAGATTCTCCCTGAATTCTACTTTTTCACTTCTAATTTATTTTTATCACCATTTCCTGGTATTCTTTTGCCATGCTTTTGAAGTCCATTCCTTTGTTATGCTATAGGCAACTGCTAGCAGACCTATTTCTGAAAAACTCTATTTGACAATTTAAAATAAAAGTCTTATAGTCAGAACTTGGAAACAGAACGAGAAGTTGGGGCTAGAGCTAGGGGAATCACTAAGTTGATGTGAGAGAAAAAGCAGTAACTGGAAAGGACCAAAATAATGGACACATATAGGTCAACTAGGCAAATGTCATTTCATGCAGTTGTGTGCCTCGGAGGTCCTAATCTCTAACCAGTTTTTCTTGTACTAAAATGCCATTGAATTTATAGCTTAAGCAGAGTAATTAAAAAGCTGAGAAATTGGTGATGAAGAATGAAATCTGGAATGGCTTCTCTCTCTCTCTCTTTTTTTTTTTTTTTGAGACAAGGTCTTACTCTGTCACCAGGGCTGGGGTGCAGTGGCACGATCTCGGATCACTGCAGCCTCGACCTCCCAGGTTTAAGCAATCTTCCTGCCTCCCCTTCCCCCAGTAGCTGGAACTACAGGTGTGCATCATGGTGCCTGGCTGCATTTGGCCTTGCTTTCTTGAGATTATTGCATTTATTTGTTTTTCAGAAAAGATAAAGATGGTGATTGGTTGGGTGAGTTAGTAGTTAGGGTTCTTTCAGTATCTTAGAGTTGACTCCACAACCACAGTTGGAAGGAAGGAGGCTCTTTAACCAAAGTATGAACTACTGTTGAAATATGCTGATGAAGTGTGAGAATGACAGCAGCAGATTGTAATGGATTTTGAAGTGTTCCAGGTTTTAATAGTAACTAATAGTAGAACTATAGTTCAAATCTGTAATGACAACATTGAAACTGTAGTCAAAATACTAAATCTAGATTGCATTAAACCTTTTTATGAGAATACGTAAAATTATCATATGCTAACAAGCTATCAATCTGAGTTAGAAATGCTTGGCAATAAAAGTGTTGTTTCATTTGATTGATATTGAAGTAGCCGTTTGTTTTATACTAACTTCACATTATGGTACAGATAGAGTCCAAACTGATGAAACAGATGTAACTAATAAAATGAATCGACAGTATAATAATTGTAAAGGGAAATAATCGAAGACAAAGAAAGTGTTTTTTGAGTTTTTTTGCTGATTGGGTGGTGAGAGTGGAAGAGCGTGGGAAAGCGTGGTATAATTCATAGACAAATCCTAGTATTTCTCTGTATTCAGTTTCATTTCACTGAGTTGTCTGATTGTAATTGAGTTGTTCATATTGTTCTCTTGAAATGTTTTGAGGCAAATGAAATCTTCTAAGAATTCAAGTATAGTGAAACAATAGCCACAAGACATGGTAAACTTATTGCTGATGTTAACAAAGGACAAAAAGGGAAAACATGATTTGTATTTAGTAGTGTTGGTGCTATTGCTTGGAACCAAATATTTAAAATTATTTGCAAGGCAAATAGATTTGACTTTAATGATGAATTTTGGTAATAAATCATGAAGGGAATCTTTTAATCTTTGAAGTAATAAGCTAAGCGTGCTTTTTTGTGAGATGAATTGACTTTAAAAATAGTAATAACAAAAGTCTAAAACATATTTACAAATGATGATTTTTGATAGGACTTTTATATAAAAATTTGAACTATCATGTGATAATCCTGAATTTAAAACCTAACAGTTTTACTGGTAGAAATTTTTTATGAGAAAAGTAATGCTCATTTAAGTAGATTTTAAAGTAAAAAAAGCTAAGATGATATGATGAATTATCTTGATGTTAAAAAGGCACTGCTTCATGAATAATATTACTATGAAAAAATATTTGAGACCCTAAAGGCCTATAAAGGAGAAATATTTTATTTAGGAAATGAAAAAATGTATATCAGGGGCAATAGCTTAGGGGACCCTGAGTTCTATTCCCTATTTTACTGTTTATTCTGTAGCTGTGAGCAACTAATTTAACCTTCCAAAATCTTTTCCTCATTTGAGTAAGGAATGACTAATACTTTCCAGCTACATCAATAACAGGGATGCCCTGGTGGATGATGATGTTTGTAATTTAGTACATTAAGCTCTGTGGGTGGAAGGCAAGTACTACAATATGCACAAGCTATTATCGTCGAACCACTTTTTGTTTTAATACTTATTTTAAAAATATTTATTTTGATTCTGTTATGTGCAAGGGAACAAATGATATGTCCTTTCTGTAAACTCTAAGCCTCTGAAATGCAGCTTTCATTTCTTGCTCATTATTGTATCCTGTCCATTCAAGCTTTGCTTTTAATCTTCTACATGGTAAAAAATTAACAAATGTTTATTTAGACCATAAATATTTTGAATGGTTTCAAGTTTTGAATGGTTTCAAAGTTTGAATGTTTTTTTTTCTCTTACAAGACTGTCTGCTTTAGAAGAAAGGAACTTCTGTTTGCTACTATCCTCTTACCTCCCATCATTGGAACAAAGTGCTCAGTTCTGGAATAGATTTCCTCACTAGCATAGCTATAAAATATTCTTCAGAAACATGGCATCCACGTCTTTGTGGCATATGCCATAAGAGCATTTACTAAAATATGAGAGAAAGGTTAAAAATTAAATGAATTTCTAAAGCTTTTTAAAAAATTGCTAAACTTTCATAATCTATTCAGCTTCTCAATACATGTGAGTTTGGAAGACAGTAATTTCTATAAATTTATTAACATTTAACCTACTAAATATAATTCTTTGAACATGGAATACAGCTAAATTTCTTTAAATATTCTTTTGTATGTCAAGAATTTAAGAATAAAGAATAGTCAGTTTTCACATGCAGTATTTTGTTTACCAGGTAGAAGCCTAACTTAAACTCCTATTTATCAGACCAGGATCTGATATATTTTGAATGTCTTATAAAATATCTATATTGTTCTTGTAAAATGTCTATCTATATTGTTCTTATATCTGAGGTTTTACCTGGGGTTCCCTGCCTTTAAACGTTATTTACATATGGAATATTTTCATTTTTCTCTTCAAAGTTAAACTGTACTTTGGAAAAGAGCTCACTCTCTATAATCATTACTGCACTTCTCAAAACTGCCACCTTTTCTTCAGGAATATAGAAGTGGGAAATGATTCTGTAAAATTTCAAGGAAAGAGTGGTGGGACAGTAATGGGGAAATAACCTCTTTCCCTTGGTAAAATGTGTAATATATCTTTTAAAGGCAGGAAACTTGACTTGTGAAGTGATGGTAGAATTTAAACTGCATGCAAAGCCAAGGCTCTTTAAAAGAACGTGAATTAAGTCAACTATGTAGTTTAGCTCTTGGGTGATTTTTTTGTTGTTATTGCTGTGTGTGTGTTTTTTTTTTTGTTTGTTTGTTTTTTGTTTTGTTTTGTTTTTTTAAATAGAGTGAAGAGTTTTATTCTTCTATAGCCTCTGAATAATGGAAAGACTTCCTGGTGCCTGAATTTTAAAGACCATTATTGTAGTCTATAATTGTATTGTACTTTGGAACTAGAGAGTACTGTAGAAACCTAGTCCAAATGCCTTACTTTACAGACATGGAAACTTAGTTGCAGAGAAGTAGCAGTACTTGCTTGGTGAAGAGCACGTAGCTACTTGGAGTTAAGGTGACAATTGTCATGGCTCACCCCTCACTCTAGGTTTTGTGGTCCTAAAGAGTTAAAGGAAAATAATTTCTGACTCAGATACTCCTCATTCCAGTTAGTAGCAATCTTGAGTTAGTAGCATTTATTTTGTGTTAAAAATAAATTGGAAGTGAGTTGACAGGAATGATAAAGTTTCATTGGGGGAAAATTAGGATTATTCAAAGGAAGCTCCAACTAGTCAGAGGAAGCAACCAGTAAAAGCAGGATCTTGGTCATTGGCCTCGTCACAGATTTGTCTGCACTTTGACGTTTTTTTTTTTTCTTTTTTAACAGAACAGTTTATTGTTAATACATCTCTCCTTTTATTGGAATTCCTCTTACATGAATGGATTTTGTTTTGTTTGTTTAAATAGAGTAAGTGTTGATCATGGCTCTATCCCTTTCTTTTCATCTTAGTTCCTCCTTCAGTTTATATTCTCTGCTCTCTGTCACCCTAAATTTATTCATTAAATTTAGTCTCTGCTTTCTGTTGTCCCTGTGTGTGAGCCTTTGCTTTTCATGTCTATATTTCAGTGAAATTGGGACCTGTTAATTTTCTGACACCTGTAGATTTAAATCCAGTGACTTACAAAACAAACTCAGCAATTTTGGAATGAGAGGACATCTGTGCATTTTGCATTATTTTTTATTGTGAACATGGGAAGGTTATGTATGCACATTAGAGAGTCAAATTTCAAAAATTAAGTACTGGATTTGCTTCATTTAATTGCTTTATAAAATTGAACTAACATTGTAAATCATTAAAGTGAGAATATTTTTTCCCGAAGGCTCTCTCAAACTCTCAAGTAGGACATTACTTTGTAATTTTTATAGTAGTTAATGGTTTCCATTTCAGTATTGCTATTATGTGCTAAGAAACCTGTGTTTGATGTAGGGACCTAGTATTAATGAGGCCCAAGTTAGTGGTTTGATTTATATATGAAATAATTTAGAAGGAGAAATGCTCTCTATCACCATACTTAATATTATCTTTTATTGTAGTATTGGCCTTGTGCCAACACTTGATTCGGAGATTAGTCAAAGGTCAGAGGTGATCATACTTGACGGTTTAGATTCTTTTGGAAGCTAAGAAAGCAAACTGTGCCAGGCCCGCCCTGAGACCACTTAAATTTAAGTGAGGGCCAGGGTATTGGTGTTTTTAAAAGTGCTGCAAGTTATGTCAGGTTGGATAATATTGGATACATTAGGTTAAGTCACTGAATTTGTCGATAGTTGGCTTTGAGCCTTCTACTACTTTGGGCCCAAGTGGGTATTCTAATGGCTGGTTTTACATACTCCTTGGATTCTAGAATCCTGTGATATTGGAAATCTCTCTTTAAGTAAATGCTGACAAACTGGTTAGAATTAAATGGGGAGGGTTTGGGATGGAGTCCTGGATAATTCAGCGTCGCCAATTGTCAGTGTTGGAAAACCAGCATGCAGAATATAGTAGAACTGCATTTAAATTAACCATACATCAACAGATATTTATTAAGGGCCTACCATATACCAGGCATGGGGTTAGAAAAGTCAACAGAGTAGTAGATTATTCTTCGCTTATGGAGTTTACATCCTTAAAGAAGGTGGCACATAGAGACCAAGGTACTATAATATAGTAGGTCCAACCCAGCTAGCTTCCCTGCAGTGCTGGGGCTGCTGAGCATCAAACGAGAAGTTTGCTTGGTGTTGGGAGCCTGTTTCTATGAAGATATCTATCTTCTAACGCTGGAGTCATCCTCTGAATCCAAAGAAGCTAATACTGTGAGAGGTAGGAGGGAAGTAACATGATGAAGGGAATAGCAGATCTGTGTTTGCAATCTGACTTGCATGCTCATTAAGTCTAAAAGCAGGCAAACTGTCACCATGATTTTAATTCACTCTCTTTTATGTTTCATGAACCCACACAGTTGGTTTTATATATGTTCAATGCACACTTGACATGCCTCCACATCCTCATTGTGTGTTATTAATACTGTAAATATGTAAGGCATTGTTGTCACAGTCTCTGGGATCATAGACTTGATTGATTTCTCAACTCTGTATCCCGAGGTGGATAAGTTACCTTAAACTTAAGAGTTTATTTACTCAGCCATAAAAATGGATACTGTGATATCCACTTTGTAGTAGTCTTTTGCATGTCTGAGATGTGTAACCCCTTTAGTCCAGTACTTGGTACAAATAGATGCTTAGTAAATGGAGATGTTTTTGTTAGTATAAGAAGAGCCACAATTTTTATTTAATACTTAAAATTGAGAAATAGGGAAATTATTAAAACTTTAACATACAACAACAGAAGAGATGTGAAACATATTTATGTACATTCTTTCATTTAGAGTTTAAAGGTTTTAATTACATCTGTTGTATTAGTTGAAACTTTCTTGAATAACTACAGTGTTTTTCCGTAAGTGATCCAAGTTTTCTATTTTGCTCTTTTCCAAAAGTATCATCTAACACCTGCATTTTAGTACCTAAGGAGCTAGTTAGAGTGGCATAGTACTCCCAAAAGTGTCTAAGGCTCGCTTCATTTTTGTGCTTACCTTGAGCTTCTTTGTGTGACCCTTTACTGACAAGTTTTCCTAATGGTAAGGGCTAGTTCATCAGGAATATTCTATGGAAAGGCTTATCTGTCTTCTACTAAAATAGTTCATTCCCTGTGACTGATCTGAACTTAGAGGAAATCTGGCTCAGTTGTCACCTAATGTTTGCAGAAAGATTCAGAGATTAATAAAACATGAGTCTGTGTTGCTTGAGACTGTGTCACAAGTATTAGATCCATAGCACTTCTGGGAGCATTTAATAAGAATAGTCAAGAATACCTTAGCATTTGGATATCAAACCTGATTAGGTTTTAAACCAGTCTTATCAGGTTTTCCTTGTTACTGATTTAACTTAAACATTGCATAAGATCATTGGCTTGGAAGCCATTCAACTCTCCAGCCAGGAGAGGTACCTGTTCTCTGTGTTCTAAAAGTACAAAGACAAGGCTGATATTGATAACAAATTACGTAACAAACTCATAAATACAGCTCAAAATGCTATCATTAGCTGAAGCTATGCACACCATGGCTGGTGGGCATTTACGATTGAGGAACTTATAGCATGTTAGTATGAATGGTCACTTGACTAGAAAAAGTAATACCACCTCCACTTCATATCAATTATAAAAGACTTCAGAAGGCATTTTATAATCTAAGTTTTTATTCTCTGGAAGTATTTTTATTTTACCACTTCATTTCTTTTCAGTTAAATATTACCTCAGCCTTTCTTTCTCTTATCTCTATTCAAATGATATCAAATCTCAAATGACATTTCAGGCACTTAAACTTTAAACTCAGAAATGACTTTTAAACTGACCAAATGACTTTGATTGTTTGTGTCTATAAAGATATGCATAAGATTGCTAGGAAAATTGAATATACAGACAGTACCCCTAACAAAAGCCTGAATTTGGCCTATGATGTTTACAAGTTTACAAGTGTTTATTCACATCTACTTTGTGTTGTATATTGTGCTAGATTCTGTAGGACACTACAGACTTCCAAGAAATCAGAAGAGGTTGAATCACAGTGCTCATTAGACATTCTTTGCCATTTTCAAAATATATCTATTCAGATATATGCAGATACAGTCTACGTTACAAACCTATTCTTAAATTTACCATGAATAATACAGAAACATAGCTTATCAAACTCATACCATAACTGGGAAAAGATGAAGTCATCGACTCTATTACAGCACTGTTTATAGCAGCACTGTTTAATAAGCTCAGATTTAGATAGACAAGATGACAGGAAAAGGAAAGTTTTAAAAACTTGGTTCACAATATTAAAGACTTCATGGGCGTTTGGGTTACCCTAATAGGAAAACCAGTGTGCAGGAGAAAGGTTGTGACTATTCATTACTATATTTTTCTTAAAAATGTACAAGTTTAGGCTGTGTTTATATATGTGAAATCATAGGTGAGATTAATAATTATCCATATACTTTAAAATACCCAATAATTGCTGCTTAGGAGGAGGTTATTTATTTATTTATCTGTCTGTTTAATTTGTTTGGAAGATGTCAATCATCATTACTGTTAATGAAGCTTACTTAACAATGCCTTATTAAGGCCTCTGCTTTCCTTTGTAAATGTTACCAAAAGCTTAGCAAGACTTGGGAGATATTCATGACAATAAACTGAAATGTTTGCATTCAGGTTTCAAATCAATTATATGTTTCTAAGTATGTTTTTATATGTAAAAAGTATTCAGTAAATGTAATGCAAACTTCTGTAACTAACTGGCAAGTTTAGGTAGGGATAATATGTCCCCCATAATACGACAAGATAAAAAAAATTGTTTGAATGCCGTTTGCTTTTAAGAAATATATTAAGATTTGAAACTTAAAGTTGAGAATGTATAAGAAAAATTATGCCTTGAAGAAACTCATCATGACTCAGAATCACAATTTTGTTAGAATTTTGTTATATATCACAGGGATAAAAAAAAGTTTTCATGTTGGGTAATTTTATAAAAATTGAATGATAAAATTTGAGTATGGTCTATTTTTTTTGATAAATGGCTATGTAATATAGAGTTTTAATAATAACACCCAAAAGTTCAGGTTCAGGTTTTGGCTCTGCTAATTACTAACTCTTATAGTTTTGGTTCTCTCATCTATAAAAAAATGAGACAGTTAAATATCTATTCCTTCTACTTTTGAAGTGTAGCATCGACTGATATGGTAACTAACTAACTGTGAATGTACGTATAGAAATGCCATTTGGAAGGGCGTCTTCTGTCAAAAGCAACAAGTAAAAAGAGAGTGCTATAAATCTAAAGTCTGGGCCTGGAAGTAAAGACAGAAAATTCTCCAAATAGATTTACAAAGGAAGACCTTCCTTTTTGATGGGTTTAAAAAACTATTTGAGTTGTTTTGAGAATATTTTTACTTAGCTATGATTTGGTTAGTCATTAGGGGTAAACCTAGTAGATAGAAATGAGTGTTCAGCAAACTGATTCCCAGATGAAAGAGAAATGATGTTTATGTCTGTTTCCAGTGAGACTGCAGTTTATGAGCCAAGACATGGGGGTGTGAAGGAGGTTTCCAGACATGCAATAGGAATGGAGGCAGGTACTGTTTTATCAAGTAGTTTAGAACAGACCATTGATATGACCAACTCTTTGATTTTGAAAGGTATTCAAGTCAACTTAGATTGTATTGTAGTTCCTAATTAGCCATGGCATTCAGGGACAATGGCAATTTATTTATTATTTATGTTATGTGCATAGCAAGTCATTGGGGGGATTTGTACTGTGTAGTCACCCACAAACTCATGCTGACTGAGGCTCTACATTTTGTGGTTGCACCATTTGGGACACAGAACTTTATCTTAGTGGCAAGAAAAGACAGTGACTGGAGAACCTTCATGGGTGTTCCGAAGCCTTATTTAGGAAGTAACACATGTCACAGCTCATTAGTCACAAGTGACATTATACCATCTAACTGCAAGCAGGATGAGAAATGTGGGCAGCAGACAAGTGCTTGATGTGCATCTTCATGTGTAACACAAAATAAATGTTGCAGAAGAGGGTTTCCTACCTCATTCTACCATTTTAAGTTTATAGAGTTAAGGTAATTAAAGCAAATATGACTTACATTACTGAATTCCCAGTGATTCTTTTTCTTCCTACCGTGGCTTCTCTGTTTTGGCAGAACTTCAGTTCATGAGGACCTATTTCATAATAGTCAAAAATACATCAAATTCTAATTTATACTGTGTCATTGGCACATAGACATCTCTCTTTTGGGGAAAGTATTTGTACCGGGCTTTCTTTGTTGAGAAAATTTACACATATTTATATTTATATTCTGTAATTTTTTCTCTTTGGAATTTTGTTATTAAAGGTGATCTATGCCTCCATTCACCAATGCTATTTTATTTTATATGAGCCCTTTTCAAATTTTAATCTAACAATTAAATTTCATTTCAGCAAACTGGAAATTCAGGGGTCCCCATCTGTCTTTTTAAAGGTGAAAACTAGGATTTCTTTTGTGCTTGAGCAAAAAGCTGGACAGCCAATAATTCTCTTATTTGTTGGTGAATGAGGAATCAAAGGTTACATTTATAAATCACTTTAAGAGCATAATTTAGATCCTTGTTTTGAAATCCTCTATAGAATAGTATATATGTAAAATGATCTTATTATGTCTGTGTGCCCATCATAGGTTTAAAGACAAGTTGAGTACACAAATTGATGTAATTTGGATATATATCCCTGCCAAACCTCATGTTGAATTGCAATCCCCAGTCTTGGTGATGGGGGCCAGGTGGGAGGTGATTGTTCATGGAGACAGATCTCTCATGAAGGGTTTAATACAATTCCCTTGGTGCTGTCCTCACAATTGTAAGAGAGTTTAAAAATATGTAGCACTTTCCTCCTTCCTCCCTTGCTCCCACTTTCACCGTGTAAAATGCCCGCTTCCCCTTTATTTTCTGCCATGAGTAAAAGCTCTCTGAGGCCTCACCAGAAGCCCAGCAGACATGCTCAGCACCATGCTTCCGGTAATGCTTGCAGAACTGTGAACCAGTTAAACCCCTTTTCTTTAAAAATTACCCAGATTCAGGTATTTCTTTATAGTAATTGCAAGAATGGCCTAACATATAAAGTGTCCCCTTTTGTGCTCTAAGATACGAAAGATAAATTTATATTAGTGCAAATCTGGTTTGTATCATACTCTGTTAACTTGTTGAGGTAGTATATGATTGGGTGAGAATAAGCTGGAAACTATGGAATGTGCTATTTGCACAACATTTGATTGACAAAAATGCCTTTATTTAGATGAACTAAAGAACTTTTTATTATTTAAATGTAGTCATTTGCCACATAATGATGTTTTGGTCAATGATAGACTGCGTATATACAATCTGATAAGATTATACTACTATATTTTTATAGTACCTTTTCTATTTTTAGATATATTTAGATATAAAAATACCATTGTGATGCAGCTGCCTACAGTATTCAGTACAGCACCATGCTGTACAGGTTTATATTGTAGGAGCAATAGACTATATCATATGTAATAGACTATATCTATTGTATAGGTTTGTGTGAGTAACACTCAATGATGCTTATGTAATTAACACCCTATGATGTTTGCACAACTACAGTGACATTCTTAGAAGCTATCCTCATCATTAGGCAACTCATGACATATATGCATTTATTTGTATTAACTGAAATTTATACATTTTATAATTTAAAGGATCATCCAGTGTGCTCGCATAGAATCACACCTGTGCTATGAAAAATTATAAACAAAATAACAAAAAGTAACTGAATACTGTTTGTTTTTTAAATATAGAAAGGGAAGTTTAGTTACACTGAAGAAAACAGGTAACTATTCATGGGCACAAACTGAAAATGAGGGGAACAGATTCTCTCATAGGTGAATATTTTTCTTTCCTGAGATAGTAGTTTTATATGTATGGTTTTGCCCAGGGACTACCCAAGTATAGAGTTTGTAAATTGAATGGTTGCAGTAATTTCTGGAATCCCTATAAACTATGCTAAATATGAAACATTCTAAATGGTTGGAAAGCTAGTCCTTATAAATTTAGATACTCAATACTTAGACATATTTATTTCAAGTAGTTAATTATTCTTAATTTGCTCTGAATTCTTAAGTGTAAGAAAGCTATAATGGGACAGAGGGAGACCTATATCCCATTTTCAGTATTTCAAAAAATTCAGTATTTCTGAATTATGACACAGGTTATTTCATGTTACTCAGGAGCTCTGTTGGGTAGTATTTACATAAGTAAAACTAAAAGGAATTTTAATGCTAGCGGTGCAATGTTGAAAACAAACTAAGGCTAGTTTTGGTTGTATAGGGTGTAGAATAACATTGCCACCCTACACTTTTTAGTTTCCTAGCTATTAATTTCACCAATGTTTATTTAAAAGCATATAAAAGTTTAATTGATGCTCATATCAACATGAAGGGAGTCACACATTAGGTCCTGGATTATGAACATTTTGCAGAATTAGTCTAGGAATTCTGCTATGGAAAGTAGAAGACATAGAAGAATGGGTTTGGAGGTGAATTACTGGCTTCATATTCACCATACTTATTAGGTTAATACTCTTTATATGTTTCTCAAATGCTAATTAGTGATTTACCTTGACGTTATATAATAGCAGCTGTCATCACATCTCAATGTTTTGTGACTACTTTTTGGCTCTAGTTGATGAAATTTCAAAGAGATGGAGTTGAGTAGGAAAAGTGTTGGAAATCTGTGCCCCTTACTGGCCCATGATTTTAAGAACATTAGTGTCTCATCTGAAATACAGAGATTAAATGAGGATTAAGTGAAATGATAATGTGTCAAGGTTTTAGTACTCTGGCCTGTTACTTGTTTTTCTCACTTAAAGCGACCAGGTCCCGGGAAATAGGAGGAGTTAAAATTTCTTAAACTTTGATAAATTTTTGTTAGAATGTTGTGATTTTATGAAATGATCTCTTAAGCGCTGTCATTCTCAGAAGATCATGGGTTGTCTTAAAGTGCTTTTTTCTGTTATAAAATCTTGGTAAAATTCAACTCTGAGCAACAACAAATACAAAATTGCCTATAAAGATAACTAGTTTTTATTTTGAAATAGATATTTATTGATGAAGAAGACCTTCTAACTTGTACCACTCAAGAAGCAGTGAATTGAACTAATACAGTGGAAAATGCTTGTGAAAAAGACCAGCATTCCTTTGACTCTAGACTAAAGGATAATGCCACCTGAGCAAGCTACTGAATTATTGCCATGCACTCTATGGCTAATTCTTCACTTATTAATTGAGATAGTAGGCAAACGCTCTTTCACAGATGTGTTATGGATTATTTTTTATTTTATTTTATTTTATTATTTTTTTTTTATTTTTGAGACCGAGTTTCGCTCTTGTTGCCCAAGCTGGAGTGCAGTGGCGTGATCTCAGCTCACTGCAACCTCTGCCTCCTAGGTTCAAGCGATTCTTCTGTCTCAGCCTCCCAAGTAGCTGGGATTACAGGCGCTTGCCACCACACCTGGCTACTTTTTGTATTTTTAGTAGAGGTGGGGTTTCATCATATAGGTTAGGCTGGCCCCGGGCTCCTGACCTCAGGTGATCCACCCGCCTCAGCCTCCCAAAGTGCTGGGATTACAGGCGTGAGCCACTGCGTCTGTCCCTGGACCTTTTTATTGAACTACAAAAACAAACAGATAACTTTCATTTTTGGATTACTATTAAATGTTGTCAAACTTTATTCTTTAGGGAAAATGGAAGTATACCACTATACAGAGAATAACTTTGTTATACTCAAAGATAGAAAATACTGCCTTGGCTAGATGTGGTGGCTCACGCCTGTAATCCCAGATGGGGTTTTTCCATGTTGGCCAGGCTTGTCTTGAACTCCTGACCTCAGGTGATCCACCCACCTCGGCATCCCAAAGTGCTGGGATTACAGGCGTGAGCCACCGTACCTGGTGGAAATTATCCTTTATAACAGTCAACCACTGGGTTGTATGGTTGCCCTCCAGTGAGATCCTATGCTACATTTGAGTGCCAGTATCCTGGAGGAGTCTGTATCTTAGTGAAAGCAAGGGCAATTAGGGTATTGTCTACAGTATGCATCCTATTTAACTGGCTGTCATGATAGAAACCGGGAGCAATAAGTATCACATAAGTAAAAGCTGTTATCTCCATGTATATCATTCTCCCCACTTTTCTCCTTCTGCCTTCAAATCTGAGCAGTCTATTATAATTTTAGGAGCTGCTCTTCCTAACTGAAATATATTGCTGCTTTCCAGCTGCTGCCTGCAGATACTTAAAAATTGAAGCAAGCCTTTCATTTCATATTATCTTTCTACCAATCCATGTGCTGAGGTAATGCACTGGATATTTTTGTCATTCAGCCGAGCAAGGGTTCTATTTGCATGATTTATCAAGTTAATTATTTGCTTTGAAACAGCAGACTTAGAAAGACATCTCACTTCTAGGTATTCTGCTACTGAAGATGGCACTGCATTATTGAGTTATTGTACTGTACTGTCCAGTGAAAATTTCTGGTAGACAAAACCTCCCAGTATTTGGAAAATACCCAGAGCTCTGCTCAAGATTCTTCTTTTCACGTTTTTCTTCTTATTGTACCATGTCTGAAACTTTGGGATGCATGACCTCATCTATTAAAATTTCCCTGTGGTTGGAGCAGTGTTTTCATTCAGCTGCACACTGTTGGGTTACTCTGAATATGTAGCAGGTATTGAACTCTTCAACTGCCACAAACCCCATGACCCATGGTGAACTGAAAGCAAGGGTCTGTATGTAGAAGGGAGTGCAGGAGCACTGCCACCCCTCACCACCGATGGTGTCTGAATGGGATTGTAGAGTCTGGCCTGAATATGCCCTCTCCTTCAGGGCCAAGGACCATTATAGTAAATTGTGGTTATTATAAGTCAAATGGAATTGGGTCTCTGGTTTATCATAATTGTTTTGAATTTCATTTGGCTGTTCTGACCACTCTAACTTATGAAGGAGGTAGCCAATTTTGATGTATTTTAGTATTAAAGTTATAAAACTATATTGAATTTAACTTTGGGATAAGCTCACAGATCTGAAGTAAAATTGTCATTCATACGGCTTCACTGAGTGGGCCTATCCTGGGTAGATGCTAATGTTTTTCATGGAAATTTGCTGTGTGAGTAGAGATGGCAAAACGGGTGACTGAATGATGTAATGTCTGTATAACATCACTACCACTTACTGTTAAAATACAGCAGCACATTATCTATTTACAAAGGTTGCACTGATGAAAGTAATGGTTACAGTTAATTTGGACAGAGATTTTATAAATAAATAGTTACAATATCAGCATAATCAGCAATAAGGTAATTGTAAGGTGCCAGGAATGGAAACACTGTAGCTTTCATATTTCTATCATTTTGAAAAACAAAGACAGTTGCTCTTGACTATGAATATTTATAATTATTTGGGTGGTGTTGATGTCTTCTGGCTACAAAGAGCCAACTAGTCTATAAATATAAATAGACTGAGGCTGGGAACAGCGTGTACAGTGACAGTGTCCAGAAATGCTGAATCCTTAAGACTTACAGTGGAGCTAGATGTCTGGGATCTGGGGTCCCCACCTAGACCTGAAATGTAGGTCTCCTCCCCATATCTCTCTCCTGCTCCTGCCTTTCTTGCCCTCTCAGGGAAGTGACTATTTCCTACATGATGTTATACAACTGGTAAAAGGCAGTTGGTAATCAGAGGTCTGTGATCTCTGTCTTTGTTTCTTTCCTGTGCTTAATATTGTGATATCATATAAAACTATTAAAATCTGAACTCTGATCCATAGCTGATTAAACAGTTACTGAGATATACCTACCGAGTGAGCTGACTTGAAACCTTGATTTAATATAAGCATAATAGTAGCTAAATTTCATTGTTTCATTAGGTAATTGAAAATACAGGCAAAAGAAAATGTGAAGGAGAAAAATTTTATCTGTTTCTTGGTTCAGGAAGGATGGATCCCTGTGCTCTGTCTCATCTTAATGGACTTCCAGCCTCCATCCTCATTCTTAAATTGTGTCTAGAAATTCTCTTTTCTACCTCTCTTAGGCTTCCCCAGTATTCAAACCCCAGCTCCACCATGGAGTTCTGCCTTTGTGTAAAGTTTTGGAATTTATATTTCTTCTGCTACTTCTCTGAAACAGCATTGATACAATTGTAGAACTAGAGAAGCTATATGCTATGTTAGAAAAAGCACAGGACTAAAATTGGACGCAGGGGTATGGCTTACAATTTCAACTCTGATCCTGGTTGTCTGAGTGACATAGAATGAATAAAATAGTTCCAGACCCCTATTGTTCATACTAATTTGGAAAGTGATCTGAAGTAGAAATGTAAATTTATGCATCATCAGAATGAATTGATGGTGAAGCCATGGGGTGTGAAAAATTATCCATGAAACATTGCAATTTATGATATGAGAAAGAAAAGAAACCTAAATGAAAGCCATTACTTGAAGGATGGACAGAGAAAGAGACATTAATAAGAAAATTGAAGAGGGTCATCAGAGAAGTAGCAGGAAAAAGAACAATAGTTGTTTCGTGAAGGGCATGGGGGAGGGTTTCAAGAAGGCAGAAGAATTGCCAATAGTTCTCATTGCTTTGGAAAGATACAGTAGGATGAGAAATGAAAAATGCCTAATAGATTCATTAATTAAGGGCTCATTAGTGACTGGCTAAACTAGTTTCAGCTGTCAGAAGGGTCAAGAATAAAGTTGCAATGAAGTGAGCTCGCCATGCAAATGAGGAAGTCCGTTGATTATACCTTCAATAAGCTCGATTAAAGAAAGGAGAAAGAGTAGATCTGGACTTGAATTGTTGTTGTTGCTGTTGTTGTTAAAATGGAGGAGATTCTATGCAGGGGCCAGATTAGTCAAGGGGGTAGACTAAAGAAACAGGAGAAGAGGGGTTTAATTGATGTTTGATGTGGGGAGAGGGACTGGAAGAAGATAAAAGGAAATGAGACCTTGCAAATAGAGAGAAGGGTTAGCCTTAAACAGGACAAGTAACACCTGGGACCTAGGCATTTCTCTATTTGACTAAGTTAAATATATTGTGTATAGACTGATTTTCCATTTACTTACTTTTCCCAAAGCTATTTGCCTTTTAATTGTCTCACTGATTTTTAACAATTTCAGAAAAGGATGGGTTGAAAATGACTAAAGGAAAACTGCACTCAGCAGCATTCTTAAATTGTGAAATTCTAGTAGAAAATATGTTTATGTGTAGAAAAATTGGGAACTTTGGTAAAGAATTTCTTTTTGTTTATTTTTATTTTTATTTACTTTTTTTATTGTACTTTAAGTTTTAGGGTACATGTGCACAACGTGCAGGTTTGTTACATATGTATACATGTGCCATGTTGGTGTGCTGCACCCATTAACTCGTCATTTAACATTAGGTATATCTCCTAAAGCTATCCCTCCGCCGTCCTCCCACCCCACAACAGGCCCCGGTGTGTGTAAAGAATATTTTTTTAAAAATTTACTTGAATCTTCTTCTTCGTTCCCCAGTTTTTAGAATTTTTACAATGTCTATGATACATGCACCTATACCCACATGCATGTGTGTGTATATTATTAATATTCGGTAAAGAGAGGCTATTTTACACACAATAGGCCCTCTACAAATATGTATTGAATGTGTGTTAAAGGCACAAAAAATATTTTTTTCTCTGGATAAGGAAGGTAAGGGAAATTAAAAGACTGACTTAATGTCAAATCTTAAGTATTTTTATTCTACTATTTTAAATTTCAAATAATTTAGATAGCATGGATAGAAATTTATTTTTTGGTAATTTGATAAAATGGTTTGCTAGGCAGCTTTACCCTTTATTCTCACTTTTGGACGTTGCATAATTACTGAACTCAGTTGTTCTGCATGTAAGTGTAAGAAAACTTTCATCTTCACATCAGAATATTTGGATTGTAAACAACATTTAAAGAATGTTTAGGTGTTGTAAAACAATGAAGTCAATATACTCTTAAGAATTTTAGAGTTAGCTGTTACCATAAGGGAAACCAGCTTTTTTGTTTCTGTGAATATAATTGTAACTCTCCAGTAAAGTGTTAACATTCATTAAAACTTTTACTAGTTGAGTTCTGGTTTCTGTAAAATATTTGTTGATGAAATAATTTCCTTTAAGAACATGCTATAATTTGCATGTAATTACTTCAGCCTGACCTTGAACAGATAAGGGCTGACCATTGGAGGCTGAAAGCATGTGTGATTAAAAGTTAGTCTAGATGAAAGTGGCCTAGGCTTGAATGTGAGCTTCATCATGTATTAGCTGTGTAATCTTAAGCAAGTTAGTTTAAATTCCTACGCTTCATAGTCCATGTAAAACAGGAATAATACTAGTGCCCTCATACTGTCATAAGAATTGGATGAGTTAATACTTATAAAATGCTTAGCACATTGCCTTACTCTTTCTAATCATGTTAACCATTCTTATTGCCAGTTATATAGATGCTTATGTGGTAAAAAAGACATGAATAAAAATACAACAAATTTAGAATGTGTGAGATATATCGTAACATTAAACATGTAAAGGAGGCTGGGCGTGGTGGCTCACGCCTGTAATCCCAGCACTTTGGGAGGCCGAGGCGGGCAGATCATGAGGTCAGGAGATTGAGACCATCCTGGCTAACACGGTGAAACCCCGTCTCTACTAAAAATACAAGAAATTAGCCGGGCGGTGGTGGATGCCTGTAGTCCCAGCTACTTAGGAGGCTGAGGCAGGAGAATGGTGTGAACCCAGGAGGCAGAGCTTGCAGTGAGCCGAGATGGTGCCACTACACTCCAGCCTGGGCGACAGAGTGAGACTCAGTCTCAAAAAAAAAAAAAAAAAAAAAAAACATAAACAAAAAACCAAAATACATGTAAAGGATTAAATGCTAGAGGCTTATCCCAACTTAGTAAGGAATATGATAATTTTCTGAGACATAAAATATATGCTAGCTTCCTTACGGTATATTTAACCAAGAAAACAAGGGTAGCATTATTCAAACTACTCTTAATTTTTAAATTCAACTTTTATTTCTGAGATAATTATAAATTCACATGCAGTTATAAGAAAGAATACAGGGAGTTTTTGTGTCCCTTTATCCATTTTCCCTCAAATGTATTATTTTACATTTTGCATTAACTGTAGTACATTATCACAACTTGGAAACCGATATTGATAGAACCTGATCTTATTCAGAATTTACCAGTTTTATACGCAGTCATATGTGTATGTGTGTTATTTCCAGTTTTATCATGTGTAGAGTCATAGTAACTACCACGATAATCAAGATATATAACAGAATTTTTTTTGTCACCTGAAGGATCCCTTGGGCTACCTTTTCGTAGACACAGCCCCCTCCCCTTGTTCCTTCAGAACCACTCATCATTACTCCTCTGTAACGTCACAATTTAAGATTTTTGTATAAATGGAATATGTGTGTATATGTATGTATGTATGTATATGGTATGTATGTACTATGTACCTTTTGGGTTCAGTTTTTTCAATCTAGATATTCCCTTAGGATCCATGCAAGTTGTGCATATTAATAGTTCCTTTATTCTGCTGAATAGTATTCCACTGTATGCCATTATTTATTTAACTGTTTTCTCATTGAGGGACATTTTTGTTTTTTTCTTTTTGGCTATTACAAATAAAGCTATGAACACTCATCTAAATGTTTTTGTGTGAACATAAATTTTTATTTCTTTGCAATAAATGCACAAGAGTACAATTGCTATCTAGCATGGTAAATACATGTTTAGTTTCATAAAATACTGTCAAGCTGTTTTTCATAGTGGCTGTACCATTTTACATTCCCATCAGCAATGTATGAGTAATCCATCTTCACCAGCATTTGATGCTAGCACTGTGTTTTATTTTAGCTGTTCCAATAGTTGTTTAGTGATCTCATTGAAATTTTAGTTTGCGTTTCTCTAATGGCTGATAATATCAAATATGTTTTCATGTGCTTGCTAAACAACTGTGAAATGTCTTTAATGAATTGTCTGCATTTGCTAAATAAATAGTTTTTTTTAAGTGCTGAGTGTTCTTTTATTGATGGTTTTCAAGATTTTTAATGTTCTGTATTTAGTATGGTAAATAACTGTGAGTTTGACTACCTCATTTCTGTATACATTTGTAAAAAATGACAGTTTTTTTAGTGTTTTGACAAAAATTTTCAAAGGACATTGAACAAACTATTTTATTACTTATTACAAAGATTTATTTGCACAGTTTCAACTAGCATATCATTTTCATATTCCTACACTACTGAGCAAAGTGAAGACTATTTGCAGTCATTATAAGATGTTATATGTGCTTTGTTAGGGGATACTGCTGTGGAAACTCATAGCCTTTGAGAATTTGATGTCTCAGTTGGGATCTGTCTATGAATAAGAGTTCTCCAGGCAGAGACAGAGGGGAGAGTGGTCCTCCATGCAGAGGGAACTCCACATGCAAAGACCTGGAGGAATGAGAGTACGTGGCACTTTAGAGGAAATAAAAAAAGTTCAGTATGGCTGCAGCATAGACCAAGAAGGGCAGTAGATAAGCTTTGAAGATAGGAGGGGCAGGTCATAAAGACATAATCTATGTTAAATACTTTATCTTTATACTAGGGCCAAGGAAGAGGCAATCAAATCTGGACTGTACAGTGATCTGCAACTAGAGGTAGTTGCAGAATGAAAAATAAATTATAGGATAGTGCAACTAAAGCACTTAATATTGTATAGTAGTGTTTTACATTTAAAGTTGTTTTAGTGTTTATGTTTGTTTTAGGGTTTCTGTGATTTTTACTAATGGAATATTTCTTTTTTTTTTTTTTTTTTGAGATGAAGTCTCGCTCTGTCACCCAGGCTGGAGGGCAGTGGTGCGATCTCTGCTCACTGCAATCTTCACCTCCTGGGTTCAAGCAATTCTCCTGCCCCAGCCTCCTTAGTAGCTGGGATTACAGGTGTGCGCCACCATGCCCGGCTAATTTTTGTATTTTTGGTAGAGACAGGTTTCACCATGTTGGCCAGGCTGGTCTCGAACTCCTGACCTCGTGATCCACCTGCCTTAGCCTCCCAAAGTGCTGGGATTACAGAATTGAGCCACCACGCCAGGCCTACTAATGGAATATTTCAAATGATTATATACTAATCAGAAGGCCCAATAGAAAAATGTAAAACTGACTGAAGTTGAGCTACATTGAAGAAAATTGAGATGGATGATCTGGACCCCAGAAATCTGATTCCCTCTTTCAACATCCAACCAGACCTTGACCCCATCTCTCTAAGCCCCTACTACAGTGTTCCTGGCAGGCTGGAGTGGACTGCAAGGAGACCCTTTGTCATTTTGACTATGATATTTAGCTTTTATTTGTTTCATGTAAGTTTCATTGCACGATTTCATTTTTGAAAAGATTCTCCATGAACAAAATGTTTGAAAGTTTTTGCCCTTAGGGTTTTGGGAGTTCAGACTGGTAAATTCTAATTTTAAGAAGGGGAATTTTAAACTCTGGGGTACATTTTAAGGAAGAACTAGGTGAGAAAATGAGCTACCAGGAACATTCATTTAATCAATTTACTTGTGAAAATTACATGAGAAACTGATGATCTGTATTTTATGATATTTTTTCTTTATTTTTGAGGCTGAAGTTCTTTAACAAACTTTTCAGTTATCTATCAAATGTTCCTTCAGATATTTAAGGAATTATAGTGATGATTTTCTCTCTCTCCTTTTTGTCTGAACATGTCCTGTTTAAATTCGCGTTCATTTTCTACCACATAGTACACACTAACCTCTCTGCCTCTATAAAATAAGAATACTGTTGATGTGGATTTACAGATGTCTTTTTCCCGTGTTTATATCACCACCGCTTATTTTGGCACAGTAATGCCACCTTTTATTTACTTAAAGTGCTAAGATTAGGTTTAAAAATCTCATTTATCAGGCCCTTGCTCTTCAAAGAGTAGAAGATGGTAGAAGTTATAACTCCAAGACTGAATGAGTCATGTTTCATCTGTAGACTCAGGGCTGTCTCTTTTAGATTCCTGGCTAATTTCAGGCTTTGCCTCACTTTTATGATTCATCAGCACCTAGCGAAGTATCAGACATACTTGTTTGTAGAGGTGCTTAGAAATTGAAGAAGAGTTGAAGTAAACTTGTCACTCTTTTTTTTTGCTTAGCTTCTTTTAGGTTAGAGGGCTAAGAGTATGACATTAAACTGGAGATAAAAGACTCAATTTAGTGGCTCTAAAGGAGTTAATATGGTTTGCACATTGAAAGCTCTACTAGCTAACAGGTAATATAAGCTTGCTTGGTGATAACTTTTCATTTTAAGAGTAAATATTAAATTGTGTTCAAATCCCACATATTTTGGCCTCATGGACGTATAGGCCCAGTGTTTGCATTACTTTAAGTTATTCTAGAGTAACTAGAAATACCAATTGTTACGTTGAATTTTTCTTTAAAAACATTGGCTTAAATATTTACAAAGCACTGTGCATGTCAAACAAAACATTTCTGGAGACAGATTGCACCTTTCATCCATCTGTTTGGAAGCCTTGATCTAGCATACTCATTACTGGATTCTATCAGTGGTCGTTGGATTGATGAATACCTTTCTGTGCACTGCCTCTACCTTCTGTTTTCTTTTCCTTTTTCCTTTAAGGGCATTTGATGCTGTTGATAAGTCTCCTGTTCTTGAATTTTAACAAAATTACCTTCCTCTACTTCTACTTTTGCACTCCAACATATATAATACCTGCTGATTGCTTCTTACAAAACACTGAAGGCTTTAAAATTAAGAACACTTTTATATCTGACCCTGATTGCTACCTTTAATACTTTCTACCTTGCTGTGAGCTAGCCCATGGGTGCCCTGTAAAAATCTAGTGTCTTTGATCCTCCAACTCCTTTTTCTGGCCTGTTATTTCTGGCTCCCATCCTGCTATTTGGAGTTTTTATTTCTCCCCTTCTGCCATCCCCATCAAGTGAATGCATGTATCAGTCCATAGACATGGACTTAGTACATAGTTTTCTTAGTACATGATTGCCTCTCAGTGCTGCTCCACATTCTAAAACTAGTGGGTGGATTGCCCATATGTGCTATTCTTCCCGGGACAGTAATGGTTCATACCTGTAGCCTGGGAATATTTATTAATAGTGCCCTGTTTCTCTGTGCAAAACTCTGTGTTTTGCTTTGGAGGAAGACTTATGTGGTCACCTGACCCATAAGTCTCCTATAATCATTAAAGAGTTTCCACAGTTGGCAACCTTGCCCAAATCCCAATGCTTAAATAGATTTTAAATGCTTAAAATTTCCTTATTACCCAAGTAAAACAGAACAAATAGACTATAACGCCTATACCCTTTCAACAGCACTTCTTTTCATCAAAATTTTTCATGTATTTTACAAATAAAGCCTATGACACAATGATTTTTTTATTCTTTTTTTTTTGAACGGTGTGAATATGTTTCTGTCTTTCTCTCCCTTATAACAGAATCAGCTTCTGAGGATATGCTGGCTTGTTTTTTAACTAAGGTGGTAAAACAGCAGCAGCTCTTTACCTAAAATATTGCAGTGGGCACCTCTCACCTCACATTTCATTTGTTCAATTATTTATATTTGGTACAATAAAAGAGAAGATAAGGCAGAGATCATGAAAGCATTAAACTACAATGAATTTCTGTATTTTCCTGTTGATATAATCTCTCATTCATCTGCAATTGTACATTCAATTATAAACCACTATCCAGGGAGATTTAGTTCTTGAAAAAAATCTACTAGGGAATATTTATGGGCAAATATATTTCAGTGTTTTATTTCCTGCTTACACTTGATTAAATGAATATGCAGAAGAGGTGTGAGGAATGGTAACACTCCATGATTTTAGGTTTGCTATAGTTTATTTTCCATTGCTCTAGGTTGACAGTGAAGTGTTGTTCATGTTTCTGGACATCAGATTTGAGTTCTTTAGGTTTCTCTTGGGAATTTTGTCTTATGCCTTATTCATACTTCTTTTCATGATTTTACCTTCATTTCTTTCTTTTCTGGTAATTGCCTTCTTATGTGGAATAAGGGAGGGCAAGTATAGTATGGAAATCTCTGTTTGCAAAAGCCCTTAGCAATTACTAACATTCTTAGATAGGTGGATTTTTATTCGCTTTCTTATTTAATAAGGACACAGTCATTTCTATGCTGTGGTGCCTACATATTTTTATTCATCAGTAGCCAAATTAGTGATTATTTTTCTTATCAGTGTTCAACAGGAAGTTTGATTTACTCCACCTCCAATTTAGAAGTTAAACAAATTGTTATAGAGCTTTCAGGTTTTCATACATATCTTATTAAAGAAATAGCTAAAAATACTTAATAAGTAACTGAAAAGTAATTCTCTTCAATTCGACCATTATATTGGATTATATTTCCAGTAAAACTTCTCAAAGAATGGAAATAGGGAAAAATAAAAATCGATCATACATTTGTTAACAAACTAAAATATTTCAGTTTACAAAAGGAAACGGATTGTCATTCTTACAGAAAATTTTGTAAACTTATGGCTTTAATATTCACCATGAATAAAATACAATAAACATAGTTTTTAAGTACAAATATATTTTAAAGATTTGGGGAAGGGTTTTTGTTATGTTAATATAATGAAAAGAAATTATTTTAATATATCTAACAACCATTTTATTTGCAAGTGAAAGACACTTTTTTATTGGACTAGAGATGGTGGATACTGAGTTCAAAACTTCATCTAGTAGTCTCCATCTGGATTTGACTAAAATAGCTTCTTTTTGGCAGAATTTTACATTTTGGGTCTTTGCTTAATCAGATTTGTTTCTTAATATTGCGTTCTTTCATATACTGAATTGATTAATTGGAAAATTTATTTGTGTTTTATATAAATAAGTATGTACTTGGAAATAATGTAGCCTCATTTCATGTTTCTGTAATAATAATGCTATAATGACTCTTGAATATTTTTATTCTCCACAGCTTTTTATAAAAGTATATGTGTTGTGTCAAAGCTACAATAGATGATCTGTACTTGAAAGCCATATCTTAACTTTTTTTGTCATATCCTTGGGGTAACTGACATAGTCTAATTCCCATAGGTATTGTATTTCTGATAAAGCAAGATTTCAAGAACTTAGAATAAACTTTATGAACAAAAATAAAATCGACGTATTAATGTTGCTATTTTATGGAATATTATGATGGTTGCACTTTTAAATTTTAATTACAACGTAGAGATCGGAGTGTTATAAATAAATAAAATGTGGGAAATTTTTAGATTTCTTAAAAAGTTTATTTCCTGATAATGTAACTTAGTAGCTCAGTTTGTAGTGGGTTGGATATTAATGTATTTCTCTCTTTTAAAACCATGTTTTACACGAGGAAAAACAGTAAGTGAGCTTAAAAAAGATCTGACAGATGAGATTGCTTTACCGTGTATTTATCTACTGTCCCCTTCCCCTCATACACATACTCACATGGGGACTTTTACAGTTTAAATGAAAACCATAAAGGTCCCTGGTATAGGTTTGACTTTCCTGCTTCTTAAAAACATATAAACAAACAAATGAAAAAAAATCAACATATCACATTGACCCTTCTTCACGGTAAATTCATCTCCAGTTTCTGCAAGTTTAGAGGACCCTAAGGTCCTGCAATTAATTTAGTCAGTTCTTTCAGTTGCCTGAATTAGCAGGATTTTTGTGATGCCGTATGATAAGAGAGAAGGTATAAATAGTCCTATGATAATATCATTCTCACGGTCATAAAGGGATAGAAGTTCCCTGAGTCAGCATGTTTACAAGGCCCCTCTTCTCACTTGTCTTCCCCTTGTTCCCTCTGATCCCATCAAGCTTGCTGGTGAATCACACAGATTTCTTTTGCAGTCAGAGATCAAGGTTAAAATAGAAATTTGTATTATTGTTTCCAGTGAGATAACATTATATTATTCATTTATTAGGAGCTTTATTTACTGGTGCAGGATCTCAATCCAAAGCATTTTATATACTATATGAAATAGAATGGTTTTCCTTTTCTTTTGCTGTCAATACAATGCAGATTCCATGTCTCTCAGTAAACAGGCAAATCTTAGTGTTTTTAGCATTTTAATCAGTTAAAGTATTGTCACTTAAGATCAGACTTTTGTTGCATGTAAATTAATGTTTTCATTCCTTTCCTATTTTTATAGGGATAGCAAGCATGAGATTGTCATTTGTTGTAGACTTCCTATGTGTCAAGCCTTATGTTTAGTGCTTTGCTGATGTTTTCCAATATATTCCTCACGGTAATCCTATGAGGCAGGCTGTATTATCTCTGTTTGACAGATGAAGGGGCTTTCTTCCAGAAAGGGGAAACAATTTGTTCAAGAGTGCACATTTGACAAGGAAGGTTCCAGTAATTAAACTGGTTTGGTCTTACTCCATTTGTATTGAAGGGAACATTTACAGGCTGTATAAATGTTTTATCTTTCTTTAAGATCTGTCTGTTTACTGAGAGAAATAGAATTTTCACTGGATTAATTTGTTAGGCAACTAAAAAATAAAGCAATTCTATTTCATGTAATATATAAAATATTTTAGATTGGGACTTTATATCAGACTATTAGTAAAGTTTTATCATACTATAGAAAATTGGCTATATATTATACTATAGAAAAATTTTATCATACCATAGAAAACTTCAACTTTTAAAAATGACAGGATTACTTAAGATCACACAAAAAAGACTGCTTCTCTATTTTCATCTTTATCTGTTTCCTTCTTTAAATTTACCTTCTTTGAATATTAATATTTTTTCTACATGTCACTTAAATTCTATGATTTTCAGATTTTTAATCTATAAAATATATGGCACAATCAAATGATCTCCCAGGTCCCTAAAAATCATAGAATTCTATGAGATTGTGGCCACTCAGAGCATGGCAGGGAAGACATCAGTAATATAATATCCTTGTATCCTTCTTTTCTTTCCTGCTTCTGATTGTTATTCATTGGAAATTTTTTCAGAAAGCAACTCTATACCAAGGTGAAAGGAGTTTCTTTCTTGCAAGATAAATAAGACATTTACAGCCTGAAATATATACCTTTTACAATATAACTTAAAAAATGGATACAAGAGGTATTAAGAAAAAACACCTACCACTTTCCTTTGTAGTTAACGAAGATTGAGTGCTTCTATTTTGAGGATTAGACATATTTAATTTTAATGGAAATAAGGCTTATACATTTAGATTCATTATCTCACAGCCTTTGGTATAACAGGTAAGGTTTCATTAAACACCTTAATGGGAAACCAGATGTATCAGTGAGAAGGGATACAAATGCATGTAGTATATATTCTCCTTGTATGGTGATTAGCACATATATTATCTCTCCAGCCTGAGTTATGTACTGAAGAGGAATTCTGGACTGCATTGGAGGAGAAATAAATTGAAAAACATTCTTGCTTCTCCTGAAGCTAAGCTTCGCATCATAACCTAATTATTTGTTTCTCAGATGTTGGGCTTTTCTCAAATGTCAGTGATTCAATTAGCCGATACTTATTGATCCCTGACCCCGTCTTTAGTACAATGCTAGATGCTGTGGTTTGAAGTAGTACAGGGTATTGCCATCAGCAAGATGACTTGTCTTCTTGAGGAGATCGTGAACATACTCAGAATAATTAAACAGATGACAGGATGAGAGCAGCTACTGTTTATTTGATACTTACATTATGCCACTCTCAGAGATTTTGTTTAATATATGTAGTGGGAACAAAAGTGCATCTTTTTGCCTGTATCTAAATGTGTAATTCTCTTTGGTGTCAAACCAAAAAAAAGATATATATTCCATATTAAAAAGTGCTTAAAATAGCATTCACTGAAGACTCCCTCAGATGTATGTGTATGAATACATGTATCTATGAATTTATGTTTGAATGTATGTATGATATATAAGTGGAAAAACTTGCTTAGAAAGAACTCTCTCTGACTTCTTAAAGTCCTACATCACATAGTAGTTACTCTGATTTTTGTGCATCTCCACCAAAAAAAAAAAAAAAAAATCACCTGGCTTATACTGAGACCTACTTTCCCCCCCCATTCTCCTACATTCAGGATAATTTTCTTCTGTTCCCCAGGTAACTTTTTACCCTTTATCATATAATCAAATTGTTTTCTCTAGATTAATTAAAAAATTTCCCACCATTTTTTCTTCTGTCTACAGAGGTACCAACAAAAGCTGAGCAGTGCAGACAAAAGTCCTCTTTAGAAGTGAGGGGTGGGCCAGGCACAGTGGCTCATGCCTGTAGTCTCAGCACTTTGGGAGGCTGAGGCAGGCAGATGACTTTAGCCTAGGAGTTCCAAACCAGCCTGGGCAAATGACAAAACCCCATCTTTTCCAAAAATACAAAAAAATTTGTCAGTTTGATGGTGTGTGCCTATAGTCCCAGCTACTTGGGAGACTGAGTTGGGAGGATCACCTGAACCTGGGAGGTCAGGGCTGCAGTGAGCCATGATCGCCATGATCTGCCAGGACAACAGAGGGAGACCTTTAAAAAAAAAATCACGAGGAGTGATTGGAGGGGGTGGATAAAAGACTGAATAATCATAGTCTAATTTTGTTGAATCAGGCTGCATACAGCCTGATTGTACGTTATAGGGTATCATCTTATGTTTTACATTATTTTGATAAACACAGATCTCCAATTGTTAGCGAATTCAGCATAAGAATCCTGATGTAACTTGAGTTGACCTTTAAAAGATGAGTGTGATTTCATTTACTAAATGGTGATGGGAGGGTTTCTGAGAGTGGGAGCAGTATTAAGTGGATGGTGAGAGGATGGCATAAGAAACATATTCACCTTGGTGCTGTTGATCAGGATATAGTCATTTACCCATTTAGAATAGAGAATCCATGTGAGGAAGTTTAGCTTCGTTTTGGGTGAGAAGACCAAGGCAGTATTGCTGAGATACTAGAAGCCAAAGCACGTTCTATCAAATGCTTGGAACACTTGATAGAATAAACATGTTCTATGTATGGCCCCAACATTCCTATAAGGCAGATAGTATTATCTCTCTTTTACAAATAAAGAGCCCAAGTCTATAAAGAGGGAAGTGTTACGAAAATCACTTAACTTATAAGTTCTGATGCCAGGATTTGAACCAAGGTTGATCTGACCCCAGAGTTCACTCTCTTAGCTATAGGCTTAGAAAAACATACAAAATTGCAGATGTTTCTTAGCTTAAGATCTGTCGTGTTTATTTCAGCTGGACTTGGGAGATATAAGGACTTTGGCTTTGTATATTTTGTCAAGCAGCTAAAAATGCAAACAACTCTGTTTCACGTAATTTATGAAATGTTTTTGGATAAAGCATTTAACAGCTGACTTTCTATTTAAATTCCTCATTTGAATGGAGTTTGTTAATAGAACTTTAACTGTGCTATAGAGTTAACCTTTAAGAATTTTTTTTATTTAAATGCATTCATATTCTAGTTCTTTATTTTATTTTTTGTCTTTAAATGCTAGAAAGCCTTGTGATACTCTTATTAATGATGAAAATATTGATTCTTTTTTCTTTTCTTTTTTTTTTTTTTTGAGATGGAGTTTCACTCTTGTTGCCCAGGCTGGAGTGCAATGGTGCGATCTTGGCTCACTGCAACCTCCGCCTTCCAGGTTCAAGCGATTCTCCTGCCTCAGCCTCCAGAGTAGCTGGGATTATAGGCACCCACTGCCACGCCCAGCTAATTTTTGTATTTTTAGTAGAAACAGGGTCTCACCATGTTGGCCAGGCTGGTCTCGAACTCCTGACCTCAGGTGATCCACCTGCCTCAGCCTCCCAAAGTGCTGGGACAGGCGTGAGCCACTGCGCCCGGCTGATTCTTTTTTATTTTCATATAGACATATATATATCATCTGTCTTACTGCGTTACGATATCCAGAACAACATTAAATAAAAAGATAGTAGACATCTTTTGTACATTCTTGATTCTAAAAGAAATGTTTGTGAATTTTCACCACTGAAAGTGTTGACTAATACAGTTTTTGGTAGCTGTACTTTTTCACAATAAGAAAGATTTAATTCAGGCAGTCTCTACCCACCCCACCCAAAAAAGTTTCTTCTTTGAAAATTTTCTGTAATAAACCTGTTCTTTAATTTTTTAATTGTTTTTTTTTAGAAATGAGGCCTTGCTATGTTGCCCAGGCTGGATTCAAACTCCTGGGCTCAAGTGATCCTCCTACCTCAGGCTCTTAAGTAGCTGAGACTACAGGTGTGTGCTACTATGCATGGCTTAAATCTGTTCTTTAGAAAAAAAAATTTGTAGATATTTCTTTTGAATTTATAATACTTTTTCCCTTGGCTCTACCATTTTAATTTTGTTCACAATTTAGATTTTATTTTGTTTTAAAACTGAGAATCAATTTACAATACACTTCTATATAATTTATGAAAATGTATTAGAGATCCAGCACACTGCTATTCAGGGTGGTGATGGGACAGAGGTATAACTACATAATGAGCCTTTTTTTTTTTGTCATAACTGTGTTTAGTTTAAATACTTCAATACTGAGATAAATAACCAGTACCTGGCTTTAATCCTCCTTGGATCTGGCTTAGTAGGCAATTACAATTGACCATCTCCATTCATAATTTTTTGTAGAATTGGCTTTTGGGGCTTTGGTGAGGTAGAGTAGGCACTTATAGAAACCTTGGTCTTTGTAACAAGTAGAAGCTGCCTTCATGTTACTAATTATTATTTAATTTCTATAACTTAAAAATTTTTTTGTGTGTGTGCTGAAACCTAGGATCTATTTTCTCTTCTCTTCTCTTCTCTTTTTTTGTTTGAGATGGAGTCTCACTCTGTCACCCAGGCTTGAGTGCAGTGGTGAGATCTCGGCTCACTGCAACCTCCGCCTCCCGGGCTCAGACGATTCTTCTGCCCCAGCCTCCTGAGTAGCTGGGATTACCAGCATGTGCCACCACACCCAGCTAATTTTTGTATTTTTAGTAAAAACGGGGTTTCATCATGTTGTCCAGGCTGGTCTCGAACTCCTGACCTCAGGTGATCCGCCAGCCTTGGCCTCCTAAAGTGCTGGGATTACAGGCGTGAGCCACTGCGACTGGCCGTATATACCTTCTTATGCCTTCCATTGTTATGTAAATAATTTGAAGTTACTTATCACTAAGATAATTGGCCACATAGCAAAGAGAAATAAGGAAAAATGACTCTTGAGCTGTAGGAATGCAAATATAATTTAAAAATCAAGTCCATGACAAATAAACCTGTATTCTCCAGGCAGTAAGGCCTACGTTGCTGTTCTAGTTGAAACTTAAATGAGATACTAAGCTTTCTGGTAATCAACTTGAAAAGGAATCATACAATTAGTTATTTAATTTTCACTTTACTTTTTTAATGGCAGGAAAGCCTTTCCTAGCATCAAGTTCTAAACCTGCAGGCAAAGACAAAGGCATAGAAAATAAAGTGATGGTTCTTTACATGTTTCAAGGGGGTAAATATCTTGAAGCATCTTTTTGAAAAAATGTTTTTCTTCAGAAAAATTAAAATTATGGATTTTCTTTCACAAAAATTAATTTAGGCCTGTGTACACATAATTTTATTCCAATGTACCTTTTGGACTTAGTCTTTTCTTAATCTACAGTTATTGGTATTGTGTGTGACAAATTCTGTTTGAGTCTGAGTTTATTACTAAGTGAGTGAAGGAAATGCTTTTCAAACTACAATGTGAATGCAGAATTATCTGAGTTACATGAGGCTTTTTGAAAAAATTACATATTTTTAACTTTCTGAGTCTAAAATTAATATACATATACTTAAGATAATTATTTATTAATCATTGAGAAATAATTCAGAGGCATTATTTGCATTTGTGTTTATGTTACATCTGCTAAGTGAAAGGGTGAACTGTATCACATTTTAGAGTACATATAGAAAAAAAATCAAATGTGGCAAATAACACATACCATAAGCATGCAAAATTTATAATAAGCTGTGAGATACTAGCTGACATCATATTGATGTTTTTAAAGCACAGATATTGTGCAGTTCCTGATTTTGTACATATTAACTTGGAAAAGTTTACTAACAATAAATATAGTAAAACAGAGAACTGTTTTTATTAAAGCAGATTTAAACTTTTCCTGTTATTTTGGAATGTACTATTAAATCTATTAGTCTATCAAAAGCGTGGATCAGTGGCTAAAAGTTAATATTAAAGAAAAATAACAAAAATTATGATGACATTAACTCAAATGATGTTTCATTATGATCAAAACCAAAAGAATCAAACCTAAAAGTGAAATGTAAAATATAAAACAAAGAAGTACCTATTTGCCACTCTTAAATCTATTTGCATTTTTGGTTCCACAAAGCATCATTTTATATTAAATAACAAAGGATGTTAATTTAAACTGTATTGATTTTATACATGTGTTGTATGAGTAAACTTATGGTATGTTAATACTCAGATATTTATCTGTGCAGAGTTCAACTTAACACTGAGGTCTGTGAGAAAGTTTTCTTTTTCAAAGCTTGGGATTTTACTCATGTTTGAGAAACATTGAATTAGGAGTTTACCCTTAAACTCTAAACTCTTTCATGCCCATAGTGAATTAACAGAGCATGCTTTCTTGTACATTTAGAGGTTGTTAAAGCTTACCCAGTTGCTGGGTCTGCTAGAATGGGGGGATTCCATAAGGAAATCAGTTTACTGAGACTGGTGTCTGAAAGAAATGTTCATCAACAGAGAAAGTCTTGAAGCCCTGTCTGGTTGCCATGTTTATGCTGTGGGCCATATGGTTATATTCTGAGAGTTTGAACCAGTGAACTCTTAGCTATTTTTAAAAATTTGATAGAGATCCAAGAAATGGTTTACACTTAGACAAAGTGACTTATTTTAGGAGGCTGTTTTAGCCACTGGAGAACTCCAATGCTTCTTGAAGTTCTCAATAAATCTTTTTAGTTTGTCTAAGAATCAGATCCTTAGATTTCTGCGTCTTCTTTTTGCTTAGCTCCTTAACAGCTTGACCCTCTTTCACCACCACTCTCTTTTACTGGTTTTATTTTGGATGGGGGTGGGGTGATGGTAGCAATTCTGACCTTTGGATTTTAGTCCAAATATTGATTCTGGGCAACTAGAACAGTGGCCAAAACTACCTCTCTTACTCACCCTAAGAAACTTGGTTGTGGGACTACAGCTACCTATAAAAGAAGAATCAGATGTCCTGTGGTATTATTGATGTCCCTTGTGGGACCTTTTCTAAGTCTAAATAAGTCCTTAGGGTCAAGCTGTTTCTGGAAGCCTGGCAGAAAGTTTATCTGCAGCAATTTGTCACCATGAGCTTACTTGTTAGACTCTCATTTATTTACTTATGTTCATTTTCTTAGGTACAGAAGGATATTTTTTTTTCTGTGTTCCAGGAAGCAATTTTTGCCAAAGCTACCGTGGGGAGGAAAATTATGATTGTGTTTCAATCACAATTAGTTGCAATTTTGCCTCTCCAGATACATATGTGTGTTGTAGCAGCTTGTCAGTTTTTTCTTACCCCAAACACATTGTCTTTTGAATTGAATGCTGATCAGGATAAATATATAACACACTCAAAGGGGAATTTTGGTCTTATATTTGGGAAAAATACATTAGTAGATGGCTACTCAGATTCAAGATGTGTTTAGTGAGGGTCAAGAGGTGAATATGCTTCAGATACCTGAATTAGTTACATGGGCTTGTTAGTGCAAGATTAAATGGCTTTAATTTAACTGCCGATAGAGTCTGTTGTGGGTTCCTGGAAGTCACCCAAATTGTTAATCACTATTGAAATAACATATTGGTAAAAAATAAGAAAATTTATTAATTTTAAAAGTTAGCTGTGTAAGTTAGAAGCTTAGAATGAATTTTATTTCCCTTGTCCTCTGTAGTATTTTACTGAAAAAAGGTTTGTAATCAGATTGCTACATTCCATGCTCCATAATAAAATACAGAGCAGCATTATTTTGATAAAGTAAATTGACTCTTATATTTTATTTATAAAATATTTAAGATTTTTTTGAAAACTTTTCAAAAGCAAAAAACATAATAGCATTATGGGATTTATATGTGTAAATGCATATGTAGATGATTTACAAATATGTTTGTAGCATCTTTGCTGGGATGTCTCAACAAAATTAATGCCTCCCCTTCTTTAGATAGTATTTGTTTTTGTTTACGGCAGTTTTTCCTATATTTGGTGAATCTCTTGCCTTATGAGTTTTTATAGCCCCAGAAAGAAGTAAAACACTCACCTTTTCAGCCATCCTTAACTAGGACATCAACAGGTGACCAAATCACAATTCAGAATACCTATAAGAACATTGATTAGGAAGCTATTGAGTAAGAGGAGGCAGCATAAAGATTTCCTTCTGCAGAGGGGAAGCATAGACTTCCAGGGGCAGCAAAGCACAGGACCTAGCCTGAGTGTTGGGAGAATGTTGTCTGCACCCAGCAGTAGGTCTCCACTGGTGGATATACTTGAGTTATTATTTGGGCTTCCTAATGTTCTTTAATACTTTTTTCTGGTTGTTTTTGCTGAAAGTGATACAGTGGATTCTGCTGTTTACATTGAAGAACTTGAACTCATCTTTTTCCCAGCCTTGATCTTCATCCAGTGTACCATGGCTCAGGGAATGGCACTGCTATATATTTGGGTGTAGTAACAAGAAATATAGTTGTATATTCTGGATACCTGTCTCTTGTATATGTTATGCATCACCAATTTTGCTGTTTTTACCTCCTATATAGGTCTTGATTGGCTGCTTCACATCACCTCCATCATCTATTACTATAATTAAAAACATTTTTCCTCTATTGACTGCCACAGCTACTATCTTCCTGGTCTCCCATACCTATTTTGCTTACCACCCTATCACTCATATGTTTTATACATTGTGGCCAGAGTTATTTGCCAGAATGAAAATCTGACTTATGATAGCAACCTTCATCTCATTCAGCTTAAATCTTTTCTGTGTTTAACTATAACATTTAAGATAAAGACAAAACTGTTTATCTTTGCCTGCAAGTCCTGCTTGGTCTGTTTACTTCTTTGATCTCCATTGTCATCTTCCCCATTTTCTCCTCTGCAGCCAAACTTTCAGTCTCTTTTATTCATTGTACTTGGCCCTCTTCTAGGTCCTTTGCACAAGTGGTTTATTTTGCCTGAAATGATCTTCCTAATAACTCTCTTTCATTCTTCAGGTCACAGCTCAGACATCACTTTTTCAGAGACTTTCTCACCTTCCTGATGAGGTCATATCTCCCCATTACATGATTTCATAGCCAGACTGTCTTGTGTAGAGGTCATCACAGTTTCATTTGGCACACATTTTGTTGTTGCTTTGATTACTCGTGTGATGCTGCATCCATGCAGAAGAAGCCCCATGAAGGAAAAGTACTGAAATGGTATCTGTTAGAGTATTTCAGATTCATCCTCATGGGTTTTCAATGCAATTTTAACAATATTTACATCACATGATCCTTTTGCTGATAAACTTCTTGTTCACTTTGATAGGTGGCATAATATAGGAGCTAAGGGAGATAAGTTTATTGTTAGGTTCAAACTGAGATCTGAGCAGGTTACTTAACCCTTCTCCACTTCACGTTTTCCTGTACAATATTTAGCACTTTACATATTCAGTAACTTTCTCACTGGAGGATTGGGTAAATTAAATATTTTTACTGTCTTAAGCTATTCTTTTAATTATTTATATGCCAGTAAGTCACCATCAACACTTCCACTGATGGAGTATCAGCTTTCTGTAGATCACTACACAGAAAGGCCTAATGAGAGGTAATAGCCCTTAAGAAGTTTACTGCTGAGCTTGGAAAATTCTACACATTCTAACAAATACAAAGTGGGCAATGTAAATTTGTTTATTAACTAAAAAGTTGTATAATCAGACATAAGAGCTTATGAAGAAGGTAGGAATAAAGGTTCTTAGGGGAGAAAAGAGAATACAAGCTTTGCAAGAAGAAGGGGCACACCAGGCAAAAATGCTTATTTTATTATTATTATGAACCATGAACTGTTAATGAGCTATGAATTCATGCTGGTGGTTCATGGCAAGTTAGCATGGCAAGGTTTTTATGGACCAAGTTTGCGAGGATTTTTGAGCACCAGATGGAATGTATGATTCTTACTTGTGCTTGAGCATGCAGTTAATTGCTTCAACCAATAGAATTGTGTTGTTACTGGTGAATGTGTGTCACCATCACTGAAGCAATCACTACTAGTTCATGGTGTTTGCAGAGTTTAATCCCTGCTTGTAGGATCATTGTAAAGGAAAAGAAGTTTTTGTTTATTTGTTTGTTTAGTTACAGAAACAGTTCTTAGGGAGATACTTGATGGTATTTTAGTTAGAAGAAGAAAATGTTTGAGATATATTCTTGCTTATGGTTATTCTCAAGGGAGAGAAATTTGATCCTGTCTGTATGCTTGAGTTGCATCCATTTAGCTTATGAATGTTAATGAAAGCCTGAAAGTATATCACAATAGTAGATTGAACGATGTGACAGTGAAATTTTTGAAACTATTAAGTTTCTTCTTCCCTCCTGTAAGAGAAAAATTACCTCCCATTTTCCCAGCGCCTTGGGGTAGGGGAAGGACATCTGTGCTTGATTGTTGGTCTGAGATCTAACTGTTACTTCTTTTGGCTGAAGTTATTTTTTATTTTAGTTTCTACAGTACACCCCAGAGGGAAGCTTTAAAAAATTAGTGTGGGAACTAAAACTCTACAATTTCTCAATGTTTGTGTTTACCCATTGAGCCTTAAGTTAGCATTTATGAAAACATTAAAGTACAATTCTCAGTTGCTCTCAGGGCAAAAAAACAAACAAAAAAAAACAAAAAAAAAAACACACTGTTGGAATGGAGGTCACTTGCGTCATGCAGCTTTTCTGGTTATGTTTAAAAGGAATGTTTTGTTGAAGGAATATCTTTGGGTGATTGTATTTGTTAAGACAAAGTTGAATTAATTGTATGCTACAATCAGAGAAGTATTTGCTTGCTCTTCCTTTCCTCACCATTGGTCAATGTGGCATTTCATAATTGACCAGATGTGTTTTGGCTATTTTTTAAATTTTGTTTTTCAAAATAACTGCATTGCTAGCACTGAAAGTAGAATAGCCTATCCCAGAGACCTGGGATATGATTTAATATTATACTTTGCTCAATTATTGGAGACCACTAATTCCATTAAAGCTGCCTTAAGTTAATGTAGACTGAGGGGATTTTACAAGGGTTTCAGGTTTTTTTTTTCTTTAAGTATATATTTTATACCAAAACCTTGAGCTATAGTTGACGATCTTGTGACCAAAAGCAACAGTCTCAAAATTTGAGGAGATGGCACCATTCGCTTTTACTTTTTTATATCCTAGGATCTCAGTTTCTTTTATTATATTTGTATGGTTTATGAAGCTACTGGTGAGATGAAAAATAAAATAACCCTATTTTCTCTACCACCCTGTTTTCCTCTCTTTTCTTTCATCTTCTCAGAACTTAACATTTTAAAGTGTAAGCACTTATTTCATCCCTTTTTCCTTCTACTACTTGAGCTCTTTTCTTCATTTTGCTATGCCCAGTCTCTCATTTTTTTTTTTTTTTTTTGTTATCATTCCCTTTTGCTTTTATTTTCCTTTTCTTGTCTTAGAACCTCTAAGGCAGAACTGTTTCAAACAAGCAGACCGATTTTTGGCTTAGGTGATAGTACTTTGTAAATAAAAAAATGAAAAGATGTTTTCCTTTGACAGTTCCCACTTCCGTAATCCTTGCAACAATCCACTCAAACAGTGCTTTTATTATATCTAAGACATTTATCTGTTCCAGGCCTCAGATTTTCATCAGTAAGATGGTAGAGAGGAGACATAGTGGAAAGTGACAGAACGTGGCTGTTAATTTAGGCCTCTGACTTCAGAGCCTGAATTCTTAACCATTTCTTTTGTTTGTTTGTTTTTTGTTTTTGAGACAGTGTCTCACTCTGTCGCCCAGGCTGAAGTGCAGTGGCATGGCTTTGGCTCAGTGCAAACTTCGCCTCCTGGGTTCAAACGATTCTCCAGCCTCAGCCTCCCGAGTAGCTGGGATTACAGGTGCCCGCCACCACGCCTGGCTAATTTTTGTATTTTTAGTAGAGACAGGGTTTCACCATGTTGGCCAGGCTGGTCTTGAACTCCTGACCTCGTGAACAGTCCTCCTCAGCCCCCAAAGTCCGGGGATTACAGGCGTGAGCCACCGCGCTTGGCCTTAACCATTTCATAAACAGGAATATGCTTTTATTTGGGTGATGGGGGAGATTATATTTTTCCTTCCTTTTGAATATTTCATGAAGTGTCTTTTATTGTATTAAGAACTTCAGTGGACTTAAAGTTTAATAAAGGAAGAAACTTCTTTGGTGGCCAATTGAACTGCCCCTGTGACCTGATGATCCTTGTTCCTGAGAACTGAGTTGAAAAACTTTGTTCAATCTGAATTCTTCTCTAATTGATCATTACTTGCCATTTACTTATTCAGGAGAGCAGTGACCATTGTTACAGTTATAAAATTGAATAGTTATAATTGTTATTAGTTTTGAGTCACAGTAAGGTCTAGTTGTTCTTCATGTACTTCTTGTACTAAAAGTACTTTAGTTCTTCTAGGTTATGTTGTCTGAAAAGTGGGAACTTTCAGAATAATAGACTAGTTGAGTTGGAAGGAAACTTACATCATTCAGTACAGCTACAGGCATACCTTGTTTTATTGTGCTTTGCCTCATTGTACTTTGCAGATATTGTATGTTTTACAAATTGAACATTTTGGAAATTCTCACAGTATTTCATTTTGTGTAACAAAATGTAACATTTTGGTAATTCTCACAATATTTCATACTTGATTATTGTTAATTATATCTGTTATGGTGATCTGTGATCAGTGATCTTTGATGTTACTGTTGTAATTTTTTCATGCACCACGAACAGCTCCCGTATAAGATGGTGAGCTTAACTGATAAATGTTGTATGTATTCTGACTGTTCCACCTACTGGCTGTTCCCGTCTTTCTTCCTCTCCTCAGCCCTCCCTGTTCTCTGAGACACAACAATATTGAAATTAAGCCAATTAGTAACCCTACGGTGGCCCTTTAATTATCAACTTAAAGGAATAACTGCAGGTCTCTCACTTTAAATCAAAAGCTAAAAATGATTAAGCTTAGTGAGGAAGGCATATCAAAGCTGAGATAGGCCAATAGCTGGGCCTCTTGTTCCTGTTAGCCAAGTTTCGAATGCAAAGGAAAAGTTCTTGAAGGAAATTGGAAGTGCTACTCCAGTGAACACCCAGATGATAAGAAAGTGAAACAGCCTTATTGCTGACAGGGAGAAAGTTTTAGTAGTCTGGATAGGAGATTAAACCAGCCACAGCATTCCCTTAAGCCAAAGCCTAATCCAGAGCAAGGCCCTCAACATTGAGGCAAGACCCTCTACTAGCAAAAAGATAATGACTTGCTGAAGGCTCAGATGATTGTTAGCATTTTTTTTAGCAATAAACTATTCTAAAATTAAGGTATATATTTTATATATCTTATATACCTTTTTTTTAGACATGATGCTATTGCACACTTAATGGACTACAGTATTGTATAAACATAACTTTAATATGCAGTGGGAAACAAAAAATAAAAATTTGGTACCTTCAGAAATAATGTGACTACCGAGTAGAATGTTTTGACTTTGAGAATATTCATTTACATAGAAATCATAGATGTGTTGTGCACTCATTCTCTTTAGACCTTCAGTTCTGGTCTTTAATGTTTAACAGTGTTGAAGTATATCCAGACAACAGGTGGGAATTGTTAGCATGATTTTTAGTCTTCAGGCAGTTTCCAGGGAATACAGGCCACACTACCTTCTCTTACCTTTAATTGTTCATTTCAATCTTGGATCTTTTGGAAAGGTGAGTGATGATTACAAAATTGGCCACAGGACAAAGCCTTTATTGCCTTTTGGGTCATGTTACTGATTATTTTCTCTTAAGTTGCTTTTCTTTTTAGCAGCTACTTCTCAAAACTTTTCACTACTATGTAACATAAAAGCTGTGCAGGTTGGATAGCTGTAGGAGAGTGCCATGATTTCAGAAATTGGAAAAATCTTAAAACAAGAGTTCTTAAACTTAGATCAATGAGTCCTTTGAAATTGTTGGTGAAGTAAGTGTGTGTGTTTCTTGGAGTGGGCGTTGAGGCAACAATACTTTAAATTTACTTCAGATTTCAAAGAAAGAGTGAGAGAGGGAGGGTTATAGAGGAATAGGAAGGATAAGACTGAGAAAGAGGCCTGACTCACTTTGGGATGAAAGGGATAGGTAGAGTTGTGAAGGGAAGGGTTAAGAAAGGTTATGAAGGTTAAGTGCCATTAAGTTGGAAGTTTTTAAGTGTACCACCCTTTAACATTGTCATCTCATTTTTAAACTTCGAAAGTATTCTCTTCATACATTTTCTAGTTTTATTTTCTTTACTGTTTGGTGGAAGAAGGAATGAGTACGTCTAAAGGAACAAGTATTGAAGACCCATCTATTCCTCTCGTCAGTGTGCCTTCGCACATCATGGAGGTAGTCTCATTTAGTCCTCACACCGGACCTCAGTGGGGTGGGCACTTCAAGATGAGGAAACAAGACAGAGAGGGGTTAAATTATTTGCCCAGGATAAACAAGTAAATAGATGTGTAGGAAGTAGGGAAAATTGGAGTCCTGGAAGGTACTGGAAAGGAAATCAAAACCTATTATAAAATTAGCCACTTTTAAATAGGAAACAGATGGCACTAATCCTTTTAACTATTTATGACATAGGTTTCCTATGTCATAAAGATGAAACTGGAAATTTTGTTCGTCAAAGTAATGGCCAAGTACTTGTTTTTTGTCTCCTTAAGATGTAGTAGGGGAAGGGGATTAAACTATAAAACAATGCTTGGCCAGGTTTCTAAATCTTAATGTGTAGTGTAGCGGGTAAATTCCATGAGGACACCCACTTCCTAAGAAGGAGAAATTTGCTACTTTCTACTGAAACTTTCATTTTAGTTTTTTTGTGTTGCCTGAAGGTTTTTAGAAGCTATTATCTTAAATCCATACATTTTTCTATTTTCAAATGTAAACTGGCTACCTAGAACAAATACAAAGCACTTCCTCAGAGATCAAGAGAAATTTTGTCATTCGGACTGTGAAGGAAACAGGTTTATATTTTTACAAGGCAATGGGAGGGACATGTCACGGATACTAAAGTTGTTGGAAGTAGACTCCTGCAAAGATGCAAATTCAGTTAATTTGAAGTTTGGGGGACAAGTTTACTTTTTCTAACTTTTTCTGACATTTTGTAATATTTGCCTCATACTGTCTTAGAAACAAACTGTATGATGTAGGGGATAGACCTCATTAGAAGAGAAGCATCCATCTTAAGAAGTAATAGAATGTAAAAGCTCGAAGAATTAAAACTAGACTGTACAAAAAGTGATGGCACTGATGTCCGTCTAACCAAATTAATGGAGTATTTTAGGGTTATTCTCAAGATTGAAAATTTTGCTTATTATCATTTCAAATTTTACTCTTTTTTTTTCTCTTTGACTATCTTTGAAAAAAAAACAATACTTAAAAAAATATTTTTGCTTACCTTCAGTGGAGCTTGCCAAGTTTACAGGTTACACAGTCCCTCTGTTAGGGGCTGGCGAGGCCAAAGAGGTTTCTAATCTTAAAAAGCTTGCACTAGGGTTTTGGGGATGCACAGACAGATATGGTATATTTTGTACATAAAAGAGCATTATGTAAGTGCTATGGGAATGCAGGGCAGGAAACACAAATAGATAGTTGTCCGACTTTTTTATAAAACATCCAACTTCAAACTGAATACTCCAGACCTTGTTCTAGATTTTTGGATGAACAACATACATGAAATCCCAACTTTTCATGGAGTTTTTCAATTAAGTAAACAAATAAATTCAGTAAGTGGAAAGTGCTATAAAGGAAATAATAAAAAGTGATATGTTAGAAAGAACCCTGGAAGGAACTACTTTAACAGACCTAGGAATGCTGCACCAATAGATGAATGATGAAAATCAGCCAGCTGAGGACAGAGCATTTCAAACAGAGGAAGGTCCAGTGCATGGAGACTGAGACAAGCATAAACTTAGGTGTTTTTTTGTTTTGTTTTGTTTTGTTTTTGTTTTTGTTTTTGTTTTTGTTTTTGTTTTTCAGAAAAAAAGCCCATTGTATCTGAAACATCTTGTGTAAGGGAAGAGAGGTGTAAGAAATAATGTTGGAGAGGAAGGCAGGCACCAGATCATGTTGAAGCTGAGGGGTGGGGCTAAAGAGTTTGGATTTTATTCTCAATGCAATGTATGAGAAAGATTTAAAAAAATTAACCTGGCTATGTATCAGAAACGATTGTAGGGCTGCTAGTGTGGAAATCATAAAACTTGCTAGGATTCCATTCTATTTGTCCTCCTGAGAGGTAATAGGAGTTTGGTAAAACTAGTGGATATGAAGAGACGTGAATGGATTGAGGAGAGAGCTTGAAAATAGAAACAATGAGAATTGCTAGTTAATTAAAAGAGGAAAGTGAAGGAAGGGGAAAAATCAAACTGATTCCTAGTTTGATCATTGAGTCCTTAGTTTTAATAATTGGTTATATTTGTTGCCACTTAATCAGATGAAAAAAATAGTGGTAGGAGAAGAGGCTTGAAAAAAGGAAATGAAAAGATGAACGATATGAAAAGGAGGGTAATGGCATTGCCTTCAGCACAAAGGTAATAGCAACAGAAGTACTTAGAGAGATTAATTTTATAACAAAGAAAAAAAATATCCCCGATGGGCTGAGACCCAAATCATGATTTCACTTGTCACTCTTCTTTCTACTTAGAGATCCTGATTATTGCTTCTTAAGCTGTCTGGGCATGAAGCAATATTATTGTATAGTGTCTTTAGTTTTTTTACACCAACAGTTTCTGGCATGTTCTTTGTTACTACTGGGAAAATCTCACTCAATGCCAAGAGCTAGCTGTTTTGCACAGTGCGTTGGTGCTTTGGTAGCTATTCAAGATGGTCTCCAGAACACATAAAAATACTTTTCTTATGAGGATAGAATATTACTTAGTCCTCTGTACTCCTCCGCTCATACATAACAATCTGATTCTCTGATGTTGAGAGACTAGAGTGGAAGAAAGCCCTTTGTGACGGTCAATTTTGTGTGTCAATTAGACTCAGCGATAGGGTGCCCGAATATTAGGTTAAACATTATTTCTAGGGATGTGTGTGTGTGTGTATGTTTCTGGATGTGATTAACATTTGAAATGGTACACTGAGTAAAGCAGATAGCCCTCCCACTGTGGGTGGGCCTCATCCAATCGCTTGAAGTACTGAGATGAATAAGGAGTAAGAAATCCCTCTGTGTCTGACTGTTTACAAGCTGGGACATCAGTCTCCTGCCTTTGGACTTGGACTCAGATTGGAACTTACACCAATGGCTCTCCTGGTTATTGGACTCAGACTTGGACTTGAACTGGAATTTATACCATTGACTGTCCTGTTTCTCAGGCCTTTGGGCTCGGATTGGAATTATACCATCAGCTCTCCTGTCCTGAGTCTGGACTTCTCAGCTTCCACAATCATATGAGTCTATTCCTTGTAATATTGTGTGTGTGTGTGTGTGTGTGTGTGTGTTTATCTATATATTCCTTTTCTCTGGAGAATCCTGACTAATATATCCTTCGTACTAGGGTAGAAAATTTCAACTTTTTTCATCTTCATTCTTCAGACATCCAACACTCTGGTGAAGGATTTTGTTTTCTAACTGATTTTATAGAGTACATCTTTATACCCTGCAGAGACTGAATGAGTGAAGTAGACTCAACATAAATAAAAGCACTAATAGTGTTCTCATTAGAGCAGAGCGATAAAAAGATTTATGTATATTAAAATATAGGGTTCTCTACATGTGATCCAAAGATCTCTGTAGACCCTCATACTCTTTCAGGTGATCCATGAGGTCAAAATTGCTTATCAATAACATTGAAATATAGTTTTCCTTTTTTCTCTTTCATTTTCTGATGAATGAATAGAAGAATTTCCCAGAGGTTACATAATGTATGATACTACAACAGATTGAAAGATGAAGTAAAAATGAGAATCTAATTGCCTTCTATTGAGACAGATACTAAAGAGATTTGTAAAAAGTAAAACAATGCTTATTACTTCTTACTATCTTTTTTGTTTATTTTGGGAAATGGTTATTTTTCATGAAAATATAGTAAATTATGAGATCATTGCTAATCTTAAATTATTATTTTTGAGATTTTTCCATTTTAAATTCTAATATGGTCAATATTGATATAACTCAGAAACAAAAGCTGCTTGATATCCTTAGTATCACAAGTATAAAGGGGTCCTGAGACTAAAACATTTGAGAACCTTTGTTCTAATATAAGGTTTCTTATATATACCAGCGTGACTCTGACAAATACATTAAATATGTACTTCCAAACATTATACTCGTTCATTAAATCCTTATGTTTGGAAGCAGCATAAACTAGTTTCATTTGTTTTTCTTTTTGTTGTTGTTTTGACATTTTCTGGTAATTTATCTCACATATAGTTAGAACTAGTGCTGCCTCAATTGTTCATGTTATTAACTAGTGTCTTTGTCTCCTCATTCAATTGGTAATCTAACTAATCAAGTAACAAGTGTTTATTAGACTTCTACTGTATGCAAAGCCCTTGTTAGATAGGGTGCCAGTTATCAATTTATTGCCCCGGAGCTTAAAATTTGTCCTTCATTACCTGCCCTGTCATAGTAGCACTTGACCCTTTAAGCGGTTCTGCTTTACAGCTGGCACAGTGTTAAGCTTTGTCAGTAGAGGGCACTGGAGAGACACTTAAGAAAGAAGGATCATCTATTCTTGGTTGAATTGTGATCCTAAGTTTGTTTTTAGTTGGTGGTACTGCACAGTGGACGGAGCTGTGTGCATGTAGCAGACATAGTCCCTCAGTGAGCTTGTAGCAACAAACCTGGCCTGGTGACTGCCTTGCTGTGGCACACACATACCCCAGGCCTCATGCCACTCTGCTGCAGGGAGAATGTGTCCTGTTTCCCTAGCTTCCCTAGAGCAGGATTGGCTCTGGCCTGAGTGACCCAGCAGACTTTATCTTCCCGTGAGCTGCAACTGCACCTTCTTTAAGGAAATCTGATTCTCAGCAACCTCCCCTGTCTATATTGGTTTCTTTCTTGGGTACTTTGATTGTTCTTTAAGGTTTTCTTCACAGCGTTAAAGTTTCTATCTTCTTATAGGTAGTAATTCTTTATATTACATTTTCACTGTTAAATTTACTGTGTGGCTTCTCTCTTCTGATTGGACTCTGAATAATTCAGGTGCTTTCTAAGAGAACAAAATTACCCTTCTGAGGTTGACAAGAGATATCCCAGTAAATCATTTAAAATTGGCACAAAAGCAATGTATAATTGGGGGCCAGAATCAGACATTTAGAAACTGTGAGACAGTTTGAGGACAGAAAACTGGCATGATGTGTGGAGAAAATAATGAGGGGTCTGTCAGACTGGAGAAGGTGGTTTGTGAAGAGAAGTGGGAGGTAAAATGACCAGTTACTTTGGGATAAGATCATGGAAAGTTGTGAATACTAGGCAAAGAAATTGAAATTTTGCTTTTAGTTTATAGGGCACATTCAACAGATTTTAAATAAGAACTGACAATACAAATATTATGTTAGTGTACTAAAGTATACCAACACATACATATATAAAGGAGTTTTAGAAGAAAGTATGGAAATCTATTTATCATGAATTATTTTCTTTGCTATTGATCCAATTTCCCATGTAAATACCTTATTCATAGAAGTGTAACTTAAAGATAAAAAATAATTAATGTATAAAATCCATAGGGCATTACATATTCATCTATATACTAGATTATGTTATTTTCCTTGCCCATTCTTTTTAGTAAAAACTGTCATTTGTTTTAAGTCTTCTCTGCCTTTCTCTTTTTTAATGAATTGGAATAAGAAGTACTCAATTTTTGTATTGTGTTTTTTGAAATATTTAGTTATTTATAGGATCCTATTTGTATCCTATAAATACAAATAGAATTTATTTTTAAAAGATTTAAAAAACACGCTTGTGTTTATTTACTATTTATCATTATTCATTTGATTTTCCTCTTGTAAGATAGTATTCATGTAGTCTCTGTTTTAATAAAAATGTGCAAATCTAATGCCTATTCATTATAGAACTCTCAGAAACTGTACATATGCAAAAACTTTTTTGAAAACCTAGAAGACAATTACAGCCCACCAGATAATATACCGTTAAGATTTTGCTACATATTTTTCCAGTCATATGTACAAGTGTATGTGTGTGCATATGTGAATATACACACATTTACACAGATATAATTATTTAACACAAATATGTATTTTTCATAAGTGGGTTTAATATTTTATAACCTGCATATTTTACTTAACATATTGTAAATATCTTCCATAAAATGTTTTAAAATAATATTATTCTTAATGACTGCATTATTGTTCATTAAATTGATTTGCTGTAATTTTGCAAATTACTGATTATTGAATATTGAGAATACTTAATTTTTCTCTGTTTTAAATAGTGTAATGAGTTAGGCATCTTTTAAAGCTGTATCTTTTATACATACCTGATGGTTTATTTAGTATACATTTGTAGACATGGAATTCCCAGATCAGAAGGTATGTATCTCTTTTTTTAAAATATACTTTAAGTTCTGAGATACATATGCAGAATGTGCAGGTTTGTTACATAAGTATACATGTGCCATGGTGGTTTGCTGCACTCGTCAACCCGTTGTCTACATTAGGTATTTCTCCTTATGCTCTCCCTCCCCTTGCCTCCCAACAGGCCCTGGTGTGTGTTCCCCTCTCTGTGTCCATGTGTTCTCATTGTTCAGTTCCCACTTATGAGTGAGAAAATGTGGTGTTTGGTTTTCTGTTCTTGTGATAGTTTGCTGAGAATTATGGTTTTCAACTTCATCCATGTCCCTGCAAAGGACATGAACTCATCCTTTTTTATGGCTGCACAGTATTCCATGGTGTTTATGTGCCACATTTTCTTTATCCAGTCTACCATTGATGGACATTTGGGTTGGTTCCAAGTCTTTGCTATTGTGAATAGTGCTGCAGTAAACATACGTGTGCCTGTGTCTTTGTAGCAGAATGATTTATAATCCTTTGGATATATACATAGTAATGGGATTGACACGTCAAATGGTATTTCTAGTTTTAGATCCTTGAGGAATCACCACACTGTCTTCCACAATGGTTGAACTAATTTACACTCCCACCAACAGTGTAAAAACATCCTATTTCTCCACATCCTCTCCAGCATCTGTTTTTTCTTGACTTTTTAATGATCACCATTCTAACTGGCGTGAGATGGTATCTCATTGTGGTTTTGATTTGCATTTCTCTAATGACCAGTGATGATGACCTTTTTTTTTATGTTTGTTGGCCGCATAAATGTCTTCTTTTGAAAAGTGTCTGTTCATATCTTTCACCCACTTTTTGATGGGTTTGTTTTTTTCTTGTAAATTTGTTTAAATTCCTTGTAGATTCTGAATATTATTCCCTTGTCAAATGGATAGATTGTAAAAATTTTTTCCCATTCTGTAGTTTGCCTGTTCACTCTGATGGTAGTTTCTTTTGCTGTGCAGAAGCTCTTTAGTTTAATTAGATCCCATTTGTCAATTTTGGGTTTTGTTGCAATTGCTTTTGATGTTTTATTCATGAATATCTCTTAAAGGTCTTTTATGTCAAATTGCTGTCTATAAAGGTTGCACTTAAAACAAACAAAAAGCATATATAGTTTTCTCTGTGTTGAATGATATATTTGAGAACTCTATTGATCAAGAGACTGTAAGGAATATTTGTAAGGCCACTTTAAAGAAGTTTTAATTAAAAGCTAGTACATTGTATGTGTGGGAACATAGATGTTTTATTAAGCCTTGAGATAACTAAACTCTTGTTAGAAATCTGAGGAATTAGTTAGCTGGTAACAGAACAATCGTAAATAAGCTTAAATTATAACATAAAGTATGAGAGAAGTACATATTGTATAATTTCCCAAGTGTAAGGATTGGGAGCCAGTTATTCTGGGAGACTACAGAAGTGATTTTTAGATGTTGATAAGAATAGCACAGTATCTTCTGTGTTTGGGATGATGGAAGGGAATTTTGTTTCAGACAGGCAGCTTCCTCCCTAGTGCCTACTGGGTAAATTGCCGTTATATCAAGTCAGTAGGCAGAAAGATTTAGATGGCTTTTTGGTGCTAGTGCTTTCTTCCTCCTTTCTGGAACTGTGCAATAAATGCATTATTATTCCAGAGCACTCGGAGAATGTGGCAGTAGTCAGGCATTATTGAAAGAGGGCCATTTAGCGGAAACATTCTATAGAGATGAATTATCAACACTATTTTTCTTTATTATTTAACTTGCTTGAAATGTTGAAATAGTGTAGACAAGCTTTTATTTTGTGACTTTTGTCTTCCTAGTGATCAAATTGATAATGCCTACAAATGAATATACCTTGCCCATCCGGTTTCCCTAATAAGACAGATAATTATTGTAGCTTAAGGGTACAACTGACTGAAAATTCCTAAATGGTCTTTATAGTAAATATTATGCTATATAATTAAAATGTGACACAAAGCATATTTTTACTCCAAAGTTTATTTTATAATAGGAAAAAATGACTATTAGAAAGCCAATAAATCATTTAGAGATTACTACTTTAAAGTTGACATTCAGAAGCCATAATTGATACAGACCTCTAAAAATAATTTAAATGCACTACTGCCATAATATTCCACTGAGGGGAGGGGGTGGAACTGTTATAGTAGTGGAGAAATAGGCTACAGGTTTGTGAAGATGCTGAGGCCCAGTAACAAACACTAGGTAACTTATCCAAGATCTCAGGGCTGGTCCTCGTTGAAAGGAATGATTGGTCTGCTATGCAGTGGCAAATCTGAAAGACATCTTGCCAAATCAACCATTGACTTCAGAATGTGAATATAATAAAGAATAGAAACATCCTGCTTCTATAAATTGGGTTGGGATCCAGGATATCCTTTTTAAAAATAAAGACATAATTTCTCCAAAATACACACGGACAGTTTATTCTATTAATGTGCCGTCTGTGAGACTCAGAAAGAAAGAAAGAGAGAAAAAAAAAAGAATCCTAGCTTACAAGAGAAGATGATAACTAGGAAAAAGAAGTGAACAATAATATCAGCCACTATCACTATGATCTGTTTATTCTGTACTTCGATTATACTGAAGTGTTACAGAAATCTTCCCAAAAGCTCTCAACCAGAGGCTACCTACCACTCAGTGGCAATCGGTCACATTTGAAATTTGGCTTCTCAAATAGTTGACACCATCCTCTCTGCCATGATTTGCATCTGTTGTTGAGGGTTAATTGAACAAGTTAGACTAGTAGTTATTGAGTGGTTAATGTGTCATGGGTACAAATTTTGGGGAGGGAATGCAGAAGATTGATTACTTTTACATGTTGTCAGGAAGAAAGGGTCAAGTGCAACTCTTATAACACTGAGTTTTATAACACTACATCTGATATATTTTGGTTAAAATTACATGCTAGCAAAGAAAAAAGATATTTTACAATAAAATTTGTGTTCCATCTTCTGTGTAATAAATAGGCATATTTGCATTTTTGTGATATGTGTCTTTGTTAAAATCCACAATGACATGAGAACAATTGGTTGTCTTACTGGAGAGTTTTCTGGGACTAAAAGCAGCAGCCCGTTGTTCAAGTCTCATTTTTGTACTTAGTCTCTGTGTGGCCTTTGTCTGCAATGGAAAGTCTATATGTGAGCTATGAGAGTGGGACTCTATGTCCTGTGCCTCCTCATGACAGATAACCAATGAACACTTACTAAGTCAAAGGGATAGAGTAGATTGGTGATTTTAAACTGGGTTTCTTGTAGCTCTACAAGAGTTTAGGGACTGTTACAGAACTGGGGCCAGTAGCAGTGGTGATTAGCTGACACCTTAGTGGGTGAGACTCCAAGTGGGGAAATCTGCTGTGTCCTGATCCTCAGCTCTAGGCATTTTTAACTTTAGCCCTCATACTGACACTACAAAGTGTCCTCATTCCCTGAACTGAGGTTCAAAGTTAGTATGTTACAAATGATCACATAACTTGTATAAATGATGATTTTCCAATACGAAATTAGAAATGGTTCCATTGTTTGCACTCTAAGCACATCTCCCTGCAATAATATTCTGGATAGCGAAAAATAAAGGTGTACCCTTTGTGTAAACCAGGCCAATAATGTATCGCTTTTGTGTATGTGTGTATACATATATATATATATTATATTAAAAGACTTGTGTTCAGTAATACCAGAGATTTAGAGTGAGATCTGGATTTGAACCCAGCTTTGAGTGTTACTAATTGTGCCTCAATTTCCTAATTTGTAAAATAGGATAATAACAGGTTGTTGTGGAGACTAAATGAATTGATACAGAATGTGTACTTTGAACACTGTCTGTTACCTAGTAAGAATTCAGTTCATCTACTTATTTGATTGATGTATTTCTGTGGCTGTGTTCTGGAAAACAGTCTTTTTAACTTAAATTTAATGCTCAGAATGGATTAGCATATTTTTATTGTTATATGTTCCCTTTGCTTATATATCTCTTTAGCATTATTATTTGTAATGTCATTTCAGGTTCCTATATGATAGTGGACTCTTCAGATCACGACCCTGGAGAAAAAGCCAGACTTCAGCTGCCTACAATGAAGGAGAACGACACTCACTGCATTGATTTCAGTTACCTATTATATAGCCAGAAAGGACTGAATCCTGGCACTTTGAACATATTAGTTAGGGTGAATAAAGGACCTCTTGCCAATCCAATTTGGAATGTGACTGGATTCACGGGTAGAGATTGGCTTCGGGCTGAGCTAGCAGTGAGCACCTTTTGGCCCAATGAATATCAGGTAATCATCTGTACTTTTCTGGTGTATGTTTTGATGTCATCAGTTCTCACTATATGTGTAATACATAGATGTAAATATGCATCTCATGGTAATGAGAGATTGCCCTCTTGCCTCCCCCACCCCCATTATTGGGGAAGTGTCATACATAGATATACATATGCATCCCATGGTAATGAGAGATTGCCCCTCTTTCTTCCCCACCCTGTTGATGAGGAAGTGTTTGGAGACATTGGCACAAAACCTTCAAACTAGAGAAAGTATTTCTATGTGTTAAAATAAGTTTAGGTCCAAAATTTGTTGGTGGTTTGACAAAGAGCTACTTATTGACAGATTCTTTCCTACAGCTTTGTTCAGGAAGAAATAGCCTTTTTGAGTTTATTGTAATCTTCAGACTGGACTGATTTACTGACTTTTTGAAAGTAACATTTGGGAAATAAATGTGATGTAGAGTTTCATGAACTATGTTAAGGGGGAGGCATTTTCATTAATTATTTTAATTTTGATTAATTAATTGAATAAATTAAATGACATATAAAAATAAGCCAAAAAGGATAAGTTATTCACAAAGCTTTGGATGTTTGTTTCAGAAATGATTCATTGAATTATGATTAAATCAGACAATCAATAGTGTCAGTACCCACTTTATGATTCTGTGACTGAGTTTATATGCTCTTAACAAAAAAAAGGTTCATTTACTAGTTTGGAGAGTTTGTTCAGTAACCCTCACTATGAGGTTCCGTCCCTGGATGCTGTTATTTCTTTAAAAGGTCAATTTTGTGTTAGACCTTGAGATTTAAACTTTTAAAGGACTTGTTTATTTGTAGCTTATTATAAAGCCTAAAGAGAATACATTTATGTAAAAGTATATTTTATGATGGTCAGCAAGCAATATATAAACTAATAGTTTTATTTCTGCCTTTTAAAAATGAATTATGTCTTTAAGTTAGGTTTGTCTTTATTCTTGAAGGGGAAAAAAGAAATGCTTTGCTTTAATTGCTTTGTCTTGAGTTGAGTTTTCTGTTTTATTAAAAGCCTCCTACATTGTAGGCATGGTTCCACAGGTAAGATTTTCAGTTCAAGGTTGTATGTTTATTGAGTTTTCAATGGATTTTCATTAGATACAAGTTGATTCTATTATTCCGGAGCATAAGGATATTTCTCTTCAGTCAGAGAGAGCCATCTGCTTTTTCAGGGTCCACAGCCCCAGGAGGGCTGCATATATGATATGGTAGGTAGGTGGATGGGAGTGTGTGAAACTAATGCTAGAGCACTTGTTGCAAGATCAGTGGGCTCAACTCTGACAAAAGTGGGTTGATGGCTGTCATCACCAGGTCACTCTCACAATGCATTATCATTGTACTGATTTCATGAGAATCTGTCATAGGAGCTTAACTTAGCACTGGAAAGAAGTTCTGATTCAACAGAGTCAGCCTCCACAAAACAAATTAAAACCCCCAATAAAAATTAATCTAGCACACTCCTTAAAAATATGGGTTTTGAAGTCAGATTGCCTGTATTCAACCCTGTTCACAACTTGTTTCCTGTGTAGATAGTTCTTTAAGGAATCAGACTGTCAGTTGTACTTTAAAACAAGAACAATAACAACATAGAAGTAACTGTTGATAAATCCAGCAAGTAGTATATCTGTGATATATTTCTTTTTCCTCGTAACTACGAAATAACATACATGTAGTTATTTTTTCTAAGTTGTTAAAGATCTATCTTTGAATCATTGATGTTAATAACATTTTCTCATGGCACAGATTACTGTGGTGTTAATTCTACTATTAAGTTACAGTAATTTGAACTGGATTAATAATTCTTTGTTCAGTCTCATTTTGCATGACAAAACCCCCTTCGTTATATGTGCTTGTGGTGTATTTAAGCAAGAAGTACAAAAAGTGCCTGGGTGAGTTCCAGCCTGGCCAGTGACATCATTTTGGAGATGTTTTGTCAGAGAAAATGATGACTAAATAAATACATGGAACCTATGGGTAAATGTCTCATTGTTGCAGATTAAAATTTGAGCCATAGATAATTTCTTAAGTGATTGTTTTGCTCTCACATCTTTTTCCTTAACCTACAAAACTTAATCAATGAGAGCAAACAACAGAGTACTTTTTATTCATGTGCTTAGTGCTCAGTAAATTACTTGTTTGATGTTTTTATCAATTTAATCATTTAGATTATTAGTTGTACCTGTACATTTGTGATTAGAAACAACCAACATAACATAAACTATATTTATGTGCTTTCTTTCTCTTGGAAAGTAACATGAAAAACATTAAATCTCCCATACATTTTGATAGCTTTCAAAGTCAAATCAATACCTGTGAAGTGTTTGGTAAGTGCTGGTTTGCTGGCAAAACACGGTAGAATTTTTTGATTGGTGTTTTAGGTGCTGATGTCTCTATATTTAAAGAGAAACTCAACTGCTTTAAATACCAGATATTGGAGGCCAGTCTTGAGATTCCATCAGGTTCTTAAAGAATATCCCCATTTTCTTTTATTTTGAAAGCATGACATTCTTTTCAAGTTTTTTATTTATTGTAACATCTACTATTAGACACATACTGTGAGGTCACATCATGCTAACTCCTGGGGATACACAGGCAAAGTCCCTTTTCTCATGAAGTTCTCAGCCTAGCTTTGCTCTGTAGAAGATAAAAATGTAAATCAGATGTTTGCTCTGCTCTTAAGGAGGCTAGTCCAGATGGGAAATGCGAGATATACATAGATATAACTTGAAATACCATAGCGATGGTTAAATGACATAAGAGAGGTAAATATAAAATGCAGTGGGGAAAGCAAAAACAAAAGATAGTTTAGTTTCTGAAGTAATTTCAAGTAGAAATGAGACTAGAATTCTTTTGTCGATTCCTCTATTCCTAGATGCTTTCCACTGTACTGTGTATTTTTCTTAAATCACACTTACTTAGAGCCAGCAAATGTAAATTTTGCTTTTTGACATATCATTACAGTGATCCACTAACATATAAGGAACAAACTGTTTTTCACCTATGTGTTCAGAACAATCAATGCCTTTTCAGCTTACTATACTAATTATAGAAATTATCGTATTACATTTGTTTTATTTGCTATGGTTGAAAGATGCTATTCTACGTATTTTATGGGCCACAAATAAGTACTGTAGATTCTTAAATTGATTGCTAAATAGAAGTAAATAGGGAAAATCCCGCAAATCCTTAGGTGTCATCTCCATATTAAATTTCAGCTGAAGATCAGCATACCTCTAAAAGCGTAATTTTCTCCACTCTGGAAATCTGACCTGTCTTGTATTCATAAAACTAAGTTCTGCTTTGGGATTAAATCCATTACCTTCTTACTGAACAGTGAGGTTGTTACTAAATGAGGCAGGCAGACGTATGTAACTTGCAAAACTATTAGTGGAAACCTAATCTACTGTTTTCCATTAACTGGGTGCCCATCATTAATCACAAAAATGATGTGTGATGAAAACTACAGGGGTTTGTCCAGAAATTGGAATGTGATAGTATAGCAGAAAGTGCCTTTTTCTCCCCCAATACATGGAGAAACAAACACAACTTTTGCAATGCATTTTCTTCTTAACATTTTCCATTGGTTTGAAAAAAAATGTAAGAATTGACAGGCATGAGATTTTCTGTTTTTGTCTCCTTTTAAAGGGGTTATATTAATGTATATTATATTGATATTTTGTCAGTAGAAAGATTGTTATACTCCAGAGATTCCACTGGCTTTGGATCTGAAAAGATTGGGGCTTAAACCAAGTGACCATTTTTACTTGAATAAAAAGCCTCTAAAAGATTGATCTTCAGGCACAGAGGCCTGTGTAAGAAGAACATACTCATGAACCATCCATGCAAAGAGTAAAAAGAGGGGATGTCCCTCCTCTGTCATAGCTCTCAGAACTCTTCCAATTTTTTTGCTGATCTGCATTCATCCATATAGAGACCCACTTTAGAAAGACAAGCAGCAGGATTTTTTTTTCTCTAGATATATCATATAGCGGTAACTTCCTGCATAAGCATTGTAAGTGACTCTGCTCATGATCTTGTATAGCAGTGTTGTGGATATTGTTTGTTGTCTATTTATTAGTTATTCTCCTAGCTTTCTTCCATAGTGGCAGGAGTTCCAACCAGCTTACTTGCTTTCCCAGCTTCTTTGTAGGTAAGGATGGCTATATGCGACACAGTTCTGGTCAATTAGGAAGGAAAGTCTGCCAGGAAACTTCTGGGAAAGATGTTCCTCCCTGATAATAAAGAGAGTGTTGTATGAGAACATGGCTCTTGGTGCCATTGTGATCATTTTGTAACTGCGAGGAAGGAAATAGCTGACAAACAGGGTGACAGAAGAAGGCATTCAAGGAGCCTGGGTCCTATTCTCAAAATAATAATAATAATAAAATTATTTAAAGAATTTTTAGATGACTATTCTCCTGTGCAGCCAAAAGCATTGTTATACATCATGTTGTGTCTTAAGCTTTCAAGCAATACTACCTGTCAGCACATACTGTTTGTGGATGGCACATATGAGACACGTGGCAGAATTTAAAAAAATATATATCTACCAATGAATGAAGCAGTTTTTTTTTTTCAATCTATTTGGAGAGAGAAGACTTAAACAGGGCTATAAGACAGTGGATCACTGACTAAACAGGCTAGAAAGGAAGGAAGAAAGATGATCTATTGGGTATCTACTGTGAGTGGGATACTAGGCTGGATACTTTCATGTTTGTCATCTTTTACTTGTATTAATATTTGAACGTGTGCTAAGTAAATGTTTCTTACCTTCATGCACAGTTGAAGTTGTGCTTACGTAGTGGTGGAGCAATATTATTTCCCATTTTTTGTCTTTAGTAAAATAGTATGATTTTTATGAGTTTGGTCTTTAGCTGTATCAGTGACTTCTGAAGTTAGCCACAACTAGATAGACTTATTTTAGTTACGGCAACAGGATTTACCTAACACGGTCATCGTGGCTTATTTTTACACTGGCAAAATACCTTTTATTTGATAGGCTATTAACAAAACATCTTTGCTGCTACTTTTTAATCTTAACGATTCTCTTTGTTGCAAACAGAGTACCCCAAATGGGTTGGAAAGGCCCTCATATTATTATAGTCATTGTTTTCTTGAAACTTAGAATCCTGAAATTAGCCGGGCATGGTGGCGGGTGCCTGTAATCCCAGCTACTCAGGAGGCTGAGGCAGGAGAATCGCTTGAACCAGGAGGCGGAGGTTGCAGTGAGTGGAGATCGCACCACTGCACTCCAGCCTGGGCGACAGCGTGAGACTCTGTCTCAAATTTAAAAAAAAAAAAAAAAAAAAGAAAAAGCTTAGAACCCTGTGAAGGTGACCTCTCTGGTTCCTGATGGTGATTTGCTTTTATTACAAAATGTCTGCTCTACTTTGACTTTAAATAGTTGTTGTTGATTCATTGATGAAACTTATGGTTGTGTAAATAAATTTTAACAGATGAACAAAAGAGCCCTGGTAGTTAACAGAACAATTAATGTAAATCTGTGACAAGCCTCTTTTCATTCTGCTCAGTCATACCTGCTTTTATGTAGGGTGGTGGCAGCTGCCACAGTACCCTTCATTGTTTCTTTTGAGAAATATTTCCATAAATTAGTCCAATTCCCTTTCAGTAACTGATTGAAAAATAATGAGCGGTCAGGAGAAATAAGCATTGTTTGTTCAATGCATGATTTTTTCTTACTTAGGAGTTTGTTTTATCTAAGGGGAATGAGGAAGACAGATGCTAAAAGGAGCAGTGGAAGAGATACCAGTTCTTTGCTTATGTTCTCAACTAGCACTCACTTTGGTTTGCTGAATCTGAAAAAATACATTTCTGATTTCTTGTTTTGCATACTTCTTTATTAATTATTTAGCGTACATTGATCAGGCAGATAAATGTGAGAACCATTTCCGTCTAATCAGTTTAATGATGTTTCTGACAATGCTATACTGTTTCATATAATACATGACAAATAGATAACAATTTAAAATTATTTTTGTCTTCAATTATGTTGTCTGCTGACTTTGATAGTTAATTGGAATTGGTCTAGTTTTTAGGGCTTTCCAGTTTTTGAACAACTTGAATTTTTGTGTGAACTCTGTCCATTTTCATTTCAAAGACTTATTTTTCTTCACTTCAGTGTGTATATAATATGTGAACAAAATATTGGTGTTATAAGGGACAAACAAAAACGAATACGTTTTTTATCTAAAATTTAACTTTTGTGCTGTGGTGATTTCAGTTTCAATTCTTAGAAAACAAATACATTTTTCATTTGAGAGAATGTGGGAAGAAGGAAATATACAGCAAATGTCAGACATTTGTAGTCTTTTCAATTTTATTATTCATTACATAATATTACATAGAATCTAATTATTCTGTTGTTAGTGGGGTTGGAATATAAACGAAAACAAACTTTGGACACTAAATTTTACTCATGTAATCTAGTGGACAATTTATAGTTAATTTTAGCTGTCTTGATTTTCAAAAGGTGTTCTTAAAACTATCATTATAAAACTAGCTACTACATGTTATTTCTGCATTTAGTTATAAATAATCATTGCACACACCACTGGAATTCCCTTATGAGAATTAGATTCTTAATATTCTTTGAATGATCTGTTAAAAAATCATTCTTCTCAGCCCTCTAGAAGCAGTAAATCAGTTCACATTTTATGTTTAAAAATAAGGTCTATAGTCAAATTTATACCAAGTAATAATTCAATAAAATAATAAAGAATGAAAAATGTCTAGTACCTAGAGACAAGGTTTGGTTCAAGCTTAAATATCTTTAGATCCTGGCATTTTGCAACAACATCACAAATATAATAATTAGAAACAGATACCATGGTTCTCTGGGCTTATATTTATTAAAAGACACTTTTGGTTTGGTTGTAAACTTTAGTAATGTAAGGCTTACAAAGAGATGAAGTCAATTTAGCTCCATAAATACCAGGATGAATTTCTGTGTTTTGTTTTTGGTTGTTGTTCCTTTGTTTGTTTGTTTGTTTTTTTCTTTCATTTAACCCCCTCTTTCTATGTCTTGGGGGGTTGGAGTGAGACCCATTGTAAGCAGAACAATAAAGAGAACCAAATAATTGTTTTTCTGATACGTATATTAGACATTGTGACATGAAGTGTGAGAATTAGAAGTAGAAGGTCTCCTTTTTTTTTTTTTTAAATAGTGGTGGAGAAAAAAGTAGAGGCCATTTTGTATATTGGGTAAAGGTTTGGATTAGTTCTCATTTGACCTGTGTTTAATATCCATTATCACATGTTCATGTCCATTCTGTCAAGGCCTCCTTGCTCACTGAGTGACTATGTTGTGGGACTTCTTGAGTTTCAGTCCCTGCAATATGGGATGATAGCTAGTCTACTGTGATTTATTAGGTTCACAAAATTGTCTATTTAAAGCTCTTATTTAAAAATAACAGACACCAACTAGAGCTAGTTAAGTAGAAAAGAGACAGAATTGAAAAGATTTGGGAATCACTCACAGCATTTAAGGGAAGTGGAATTCCCAGCCTGAAGAAGGCATAGGACCCAATTAGATCTGAAGAAAACAGAAACACTTTCTCTCTGAAGGACTGCTGTACTGACTTATTTATTTTATCCATTTGGTGAGTGGTTATTGAGCAACCTAATCCATGCCAGGCACCCTTCTGGGTGCTGGGGTTGGACAGTGCTGAATAAGTTTCAAGGTTCCTATAGTCCCAGGAATTCTACTCTAGGGGTCAGAGCCAGTGGGGGAGAAAATCCAGATAAATAAATGAGAAAAAGATTAGAATACAACAAGTGCTAAAGAAATAATTAAAATTTAAAAAATATGAAAGCAGAAGTCTTAGAAACTGCATTAGACCAGGTGTTCTAGGAAGAACTGTCACCTGGAGATCTGAATGACAAAAACGAACTAGGCATGCAGAGATCAGGGGAAATACCTTAGAGACAGAAAAAAACCAAGGACCTAAATATGGAAGGAAATTGGCATTGCAGAGGGACAGAGACAGATACAGAGGTCAAAGGTTACCTTTTTCAAGATGAGATGGGTAGATTCCAGTTATGTGAGCTTTGCAATCTGAGGAAAGAATCCTAATGCTTTCAGATAATTTTTATCAAGGGACCCTATTTACTCATTCTTAGTCTCATCTTGTACGTGCTTCCCATTTATATTTTTCTTTAGTCTTTTTTACTGTTTACTCACAGCTCTGATTGTGTCTGGTCTTGATAACGGTAATTTCCTATTTTCTCTCACCTTAAAATCTATTATAAGTCAATTACTTGTTGGGAGATGCTAATTTGCTGATATTGAGCTCCTCAGATTTTGCCAGTGTTTCCTTTAAAGTCAAAACACTCAGCCTTTATTTGAGGTCCTTCGTCATTTAGCCTCAGGCAACTACTCTAATCTTTCTACCATTCTTTTTTTTAGGATGTAATATATGTATGTCCTGAAATGGCTTTGTTTCTTCCTTTTCATTGTCCAAGTTCTGTTTGTCCTTTAAGACCCAACTTTATGTCCACTTCTGCCACGTAGCCTTTGCTTAATACCTCTGCACTCAGTGGTCTCTCCCTTCTCCTTGGACGTGTGTTGCCTGTATTGCTTATTAGACATTTTGCTTGTTATATGTATTTCAGGTATTTTTCCTCCAATAGTATTATAGGCCCTCTTTTAAAAAGGTCAGGGTGTCCCATAAAGACAATATAACAATTAGGTGCTTTATATTTCAGAAAGCAATTGTACAAATTTTAAAAAAATCATCCTCACAATAGCACTATGGGGTCACTGGGAAAAGTACAACTATTTTTATTTTAGAGATAAGGGCTGACAGAGGGTAAGTGACTTGCTTTAGGTCTTGTTTCTAGTGAGAATAGAGCTAGCCCTCCTCTCTCTTGTGAAATTCTAGTCCCTGTCTCCTGTGCCAGACTGTATATTGGTGATGATTTTCCAGTCTTGGTGTCAAAAGAAAATTGGCTTGCTGATTAAGTATTCAATGATGGTACAAGAATAAAGTTAGAATTATTTTATATGCATACACTTTCTCAGGGGACTTATTCTTTAATATTATTTGTTAATGTTTCTTTAAAAACACTGAATGGTTTCATGGGTTGTGTATCCAAGAATTGATTGGATGAGGCTGAATACTTCATGGAATGCTCAGAACTTTGGTGAACTGAAGTTTAATTCATTTCCACAACCAAGTGCTAAGTTCTTAGTACATGCTTAGCACTAGTCTGTGTTTAGGGACAAAACCAGCAAAAAAAAAAAATGAAAACAATTTTATACTTTTCCTTAGAGAATATAAAGTCCACTAAGACAATTGCGTATACATCGATAATTTTTAATGGAAAATGATGGTTAAATGAGACTTGGTTATACTATTATCGTTAACTCTATATATGTTTGAAAATGCCATAATTAAACAATGAGGGGAAGAAAGTCTTCTGAGAGAGATAAAACATCCACATTGGCAGCCTTGTATTTTGTGTCATTAAATGTCCAAAGAGTTGTTAGGGTGCAGAAAACAATCTCCAAAATGAAGACCTCCGAAGCAGTTTCAGAAATAAAAGTTTCTCTCTGACCTTCTCCTTCCTTCCTGTTTCTCACTTCTACTCCCCCAAGGCTAGCCACTGAAACTACAGTTGGCTTCCACAGGAACCTCTTCCCCATGGCAGGGCATAGAAACCAGAACCTCTCTTTTTCTTCAAAGCCAGCCATAACACCTAAAAACAACTGCTCTAACTTTCCCCTGCCTTTCTGTGAAGTAACTGGCCATGAAGAAATTATCTGACCTGTCTTATTTGCATGTAGGTCAAAAGACCCGAATACTAGAAAGGGTCCTGCCCTGTACCCAGGAGGAAGAAATGCTGTACAAAGTGGCCAAGAAGAATTTGAACAGACAGGCCTTGCTGGGTTTCTTCACCTCAGTCTACTAGCATTAATTAGATCATACTCTTTATGTGAAATCATATTTCTACATGGGTGTCCATACATCATTGAACCTAAGCATAAAAATGGATTTTTTGCCATATCTTTGGGTCTTCCTTCTGAAGGTTCCTGTGTCGTCTAAACTATGATCAAATAAATTTGTTATGTTTTTCTCTTGTTAACCTGTTTTTGTGATAGGAGTGTTGGTCATGACCCTTAAATGGGAAGGAAAAGGATCAAAATATTAGTACTGTGGAGAAAATAGTACTAATAAAGGATCTCCAAGAAGGAAGAAACACATAGGCTCTGGGGTCCAGTAAAAGTTGATCTGGTACTTGAGAGGCTGAGGCAGGAGGATCGCTTGAACCCAGGAGTTCTAATCCAGCCTGAGCAACATAGCAAGACCCTGTCTCTTAAAAAATTGAGCTACTATGGTGGGCATGAAAATGGTGGGTGTGTAAAGGCAGGAGTAAAAGGCACTTGAGGTTTCCCAATTATAAGGCATAGATAGCAGTCTCAGGTGGTCAGAAATGAGAACGATCATACTGTGTAAGGGGCCAGCCATACTGCTCTCTCTGGCCCACATGGAGGGTCTTGAAATGAGGAGGGAAGTAGTATGTTGAAAAAGTTGTACCTTATTGAGAAGTTTCCAAATCCAGGGTGGGAGATTTTTCTGTCTGACTCCTCGGTGCTTGGACCACTCAGAAGAGGCTAATCAGCAGAACAATGTGATGACAGTGATGATTTTTACAAGTCAATCTTATGACTGAATTCAGCAGATCAAAGGGGCCCATAACACAGCATTTACTGGACATCCACACACTGTACGATTCAAGCCCCATCGGTCTGAACTAGACCTATGAAGTTGCGTTGTTCGCATTTTTAGATGATGACCTGTGGAAAGCAAGGCATATTTTTGTTACTTAGTTCCCTTTCTCTTGGGTAGAGATTTATTTTTTTGTTATGAAAGGTAATCAGGTTTTTGGCTTACAAACTCATATTTTTTAAAAGTCTATTCAAATATTCTTTTGTCAACAGAATTGCTAAATTTTGTTCATTTAAGTTTGTTCTTTCTGCTGGGATCCCGGGGGAACTTTCCCTTATAATAAAAGCTGAAGGATGTCCAGATTATGCTCTTCTCCTCCATCTGCCTGTTAAGTCCTTAATCTCCTACACCTGGGTGTTCTAATCCTTTATTTGCTTTAAGTACCAAGTGGTTCCAAGTCGGACAAGTTCTGTGTCCAATATGCCAAGTAAGATTCATTGTGCCATAGAAGGGCATGCTACTCCCCAAGATCTCCTGGAGAATAAAGTGGGTTGCTGTTCACAAATGGACCTGCTGGTTTTAATGCAGCCCAGTTAATAAATGGCATTCACTCAGCATACAGCCAAGAGTACTCCATTGATTGGCAGCAGGAAGCTCCTTGTTCATGTTGAGAGTTCCTTTTTGCGGTGCCACTTGCCTCTGAGAATTGTCAGTGGGCTGCCTTCACAGTGCAGCAAAAGGTCCTTTCTGCTTTTTCATTGCCATTTGCTTCCCAGTTTGGAGCCAGTTGAGTTATTTAGCTATGGGCCTGAGTTGTGTAAGGTACAGCATTTTTAAATGAGTTTGTTTTTGTGTCTTCCTTGTTCGGAGTTTTTTGTTTGTTTGTTTTTTTGGAAAAACATCCAGCAAAGGATACGGAAGGCAACGTTATCCTGTGCTTCTTAGTTATCACTATGCTAACTGAAATTCAGTGGACTACCCTTGTCAAGAGGTTATGCCGTATATTGAGTTTCAGCCTTGGGTCTCACTCTAGTTCAGAGAGAGCTCATGTTACAGAAACAATCCTCTCACCTCAGCCAATAAATCCTAACAAATCATCTCTACACCCAGTGAGACCATGTATATCTATCAGCTATCTTATGGAGTGACCAGAAATCAGAGAGAAAGAAGGCACAATCTACTTCCCCTGTTATCCAAGTAAAAGCTTAGTCATCTATAACTAACTTAATAAAGCATGTGCTTGTTGGGTAAAGACAGAGTAGCTCACTAAGCTTAGAAAAGAAAGATAAGAGAAAGGCTATTCATTGTCTAGTACCTTTGCATTTCTGATTAGCCTGCATATAAGTGGATGGCATTTTTTTTGTAGGCACCGAGACTGGAACTTTCCATATTATTTTTCAATCTTATTACCTCTACTAGAAAGACAGTGGATAAGGGAGATTACTTAAACCATTTTTTGTGATCATATTGTTGGGAGGGAGTGAACTGGTACCAGGGAGAATTGGAAATTTTCTATAAAAATGGTGTTAATTTATTAGCCATGAGAAGGAGAAATAAAAAAAATCAGAATATCTTAATTCAGAGGGAATGGTTTGGAAAATATGAATTAGAATGACATTTGTACTTCTTATTACAAGCTGGCCACACAACATTTTTTAATTCTTAAGTTTTTTTAAGGTTCTCTCCTTCCATAATATAAAACAAAGAGGCTGATGAGAAGTTATTTCAGCTGCTGAGGTAACAGACTTTGACGGCAGTAACTCCAGTGTGGGGAGGTCAGCAAGCTGCTTTATGTAGCAGCTACCACACTTCAGCATAGCCATTGCCTTGTGTAGGGTCCGAACGTTGGTTGCAGACCAGGACTCCTGCATCTGGTCTGTAATGATTTCCTACTCTCTAGATGATCTGAATTGATTTCTGATTACTCCTGGACTCTAGGCTCCCCCACCCCTCTCTGCCATCAGCTTTGTTCCAGGAAGCCCCATTTATACCCTAACTTTCACTTCCCACTCCTCTTCCAAGAGGAACCATGTCCCTATTAGGAAAAGATTTTGTCCTTGCACCAGGGGTTAAGAGAATTGAGAGTAGGAGAGGTGATGTCTGTACCATGTCTTTTAGTTGGTCTCAGTTTTTAAAAAGGTCTAGTGAATGCTCAGTTGGATTAGACTGTGTGGTAAGTGAAAAAAGAATGAAAAATATTAAATCTTTGAATTAAGAAGTTGTTCTCTAGCAGGGTTGTAATTGATAACCTATTGACTTGACTGTTGAGTGGTGAGACATTTAATATAGAGAATGGCAACCCTATCATTTTTTAGTGCCCAAGATTATAATATTATTTATTTAAAAGTGACATGTAACCTTAACAATGATCTGCCTTCTCCTGAATCTTTGATTCTTTTCTCCAGGCCTACTCCGGTGTACACCACGTGTCCACTGATGCCTACCTGTCTCTTTGCAAATATGTAAAGGTTTCATTCAGCTGCAAAGCTTGGCGAAAGTTTATGAAACTTAAGAAGAATTGATGTACAGAAGGACAGTGAAAAACTTTGCCCTGTCTTTCTGGACATATGTTCTTCATAGCTGGACTTCGTAGGGTGGTTTTTACTTAATGCCTCTAGTTCCTTTCAAATTGTCTCATAACTTGTAACTTGGTTGCTATTCCTTTCATGCGTCGAAAATTGCTGTCTTCTGATGAGATATCTCTGACTTTTCCCAAGTCCTTATTCCCGTTGACTTCCATGTAATATTTGAGATTATTGGACTCTCCTTCCTTCCTTAGATATAAAAGCCTATACTATCCTTTATTTTTTGGTAAACTTTTTTGATCGTTTTTTCTTTTTTCACCTTTTTAAAAAAAATTCCTCTAAATGCAAGCAGTTCGTGTATTTAATTTTCTTTTATTAATATTTATTTTTGGTGAAATATTTTATACATGACTAATCAGGAAATATAAATAATAATAATATATGTATGTTTTATGGAAATCGACTTAATCTTACCAGTACTTCCTAAAAGTTTCTCTCTATTAATCACTTTCCTTCTATCCTAAGGAATGTAGTATTTTGAATTTTTTGTTCATCATTTTGTTTCTTTTTTCTTTAATTTACTTTAAACAAATATTTTGTTTTATACAGTTAACAAATGTTTTATAAATGGTATCATGATTTGTATATTTTTTGGCTACTCGATTTTTTTTTCCCAGTCAATATCCAGGTTTATGTAGTGGTAATCATTTTTTTCAGTGTTGTATAGCATTCTATTTTTGAATAAGCTGAAATTGATTATTCAGTCATTTGTCTATGGATAGTTGGGTTGTTTTCTGGTTTTCTAGTGGTAATATTTTTAAAAATGTTGTTATGAGCATTCATGTACATGTGTATGATATTGCTAAGTAGTGATATTGCTAAGTCATGTGGTTTATGTATTCAACTTGTTGACTCTAAGCTGTTCACCAAAATGACTGAACAATTGGCATTCCAGCTGGCAGTATGCATTTCTATTGATGCATATGCTGAGTAACCCTTGGTATTTATTTGCACATTTTCAGATTATTTTTCCTATTAGGTAAAGATAATATTGTGGTCCAAATTTGAATTTTTCTGACTACCATTGAGGTTGAGCATGTTTTCAAATATCTGATATTTGTGTTTCTTTCCCTTTCATGTTTTCATTTGTGTCTTTTGCTCAGTTATCTATTGGTTTATCTGTTTCTTATCAATTGGGAAGCCTTCTTTTCTGGTCTAGATAGTAATCATTTGACAATAATACATGCTTGTCTTGGCTTGGGTTTATTTTTTCAGTTTCTTATAGTTCTTTGGACAAAAAGCCTTAATTTTAATATTGATTTTTTTTTGATTTTTTTTTTTTTTACTTTACAAATAAAAAAGGAATGACTTTGTTAAGAAGCTCTTCCCAGCACTGAGGTTATTTAATTCTATATTTCTTCTAAAAATTTTATGATTTGCCTTTCCAATTTAAATATTTGATGACTTTGGGTTTGATTTTATATACAGCATAAAGTAGGATATTTATGATACTCTTCCTTAGTGCTGGATTCATGCATATACATTTTTTTCTGTGTTTTTTTCTTTGTTTCTCTGTGTTTGTCTTGTATGTGTGTGTCTATGTGTGTGTGTGTGTATGTATATATCCATATATATATATATATATTTTTTTTTCTTCTGAGCTCTGAGCCTTCTATCTGCCTGCTAGAAATTTCCATGTTGATGTACATCACCTTAAACTAATTATATCTAAAATGGAACCAGTTTCTCACACTTTCTTACTCCCCCTACATCTAACTGGCATCTAGATCCTTTAAACATGTCCTTTGAAATGAGTTTTTATCTGATAGTTTTTATTCCTACTACCACCCTATTTCATGCCATGTGACCTGAACCTCAGACCTCCGAAATGTTTCAAGTATACCTCTTGAATTTCTGTTTTCCCCACACAGATCATGTGCAGCTGACACCATATTAGTATTAATTTTTCTAAAGTATAAATTTTGATTCTCTTAATTTTTTTTCTTTTGAGACAAAATATCACTCTGTTGCCCAGGCTGGAATGCAGTGCTGTGGTCATAGCTCACTGCAGTCTCTAACTCCTGAGCTCAAGTGATCCTCCCTGCCTCAGCCTCCCGAGTGGCTGGGACTACAGGCACATGCCACCACACCCGGCTAATTTTTAAATTTTTTTTTTCAGAGATGCTGTCTGCCTATGTTGACCAAGCTAGCCTTGAACTCCTGGCCTCAAGCTACTCTGGCTTCAACCTCCTGAAATGTTGGGGTTACATGCATGAGCCACCATACCTTGCCGATTCTCTCGAATGAAAGTAACATTATTAATTCCTCTTTGTCATAGTAAAGTGGCTGGTCCCTAAGGCTCTCTCTGTTTCTTGTCTAGCCCCAGTTCTGTTTTATAACATCTGTCTTCTAACTTAGTTTCTCTTTAAATTATCTTGCATTTTTGTTTTCACTTATTAGCTCATTCCATTGTATCCATTGCTCCACTAACTGGCAAATAGAAATCCAATCCATTCTATCATTCTTTTGGCATTCATGATTCACTGAGCTATAACCTTCTTGAATGTTTTTGTTGAAATAAAGGTACAGATTCTTATATTTTCCTTTATTCCCTGGTATGGTTAGGCTCTGTGTCACCACCCAATTCTCATCTTGAATCGTAATCCCCATAATCTCCATGTGCCAAGGGCAGAACAGGTGAAGATAACTGAATCATGGGGATGGTTTCCCCCACGCTGTTCTTGTGATAGTGAGTGAGTTCTCAGGAGATCTGATGGTTTTATAAGAGGCTTCCCCCTTCACTCTGTCCTGCCACCCTGTGAAGAAGATATCTGCTTCGCCTTTGCCTTCTGCCATGATTGTAAATTACCCAGTCTCACGTATTTCTTCATAGCTGTGTTAGAACAAACTAATGCATTCCCTATAGCATCCATCATAATAGCTAGCATATAACACATAATTAATAAATACTGAGGGATTGATTAGTAGAAGGATACTGGTCTTATTCTATGAAATTGTATTTGGGTTCTTCTGGGTGAAATTCTTTTAATAACAATTCATTTGTGTAGTTAAAGTTTAAAGGATGCTATTAATTTTATTATGGCAAAAATGAAACATTTGAGTTTTACTTAGAATAATTGACAGAATCTGTATTTTTCTGAAGATCCAATTTTCAACCTGCATGGATAGCCTTTCTTTCCTAAATTACTTGTTTTTTAAATGTTAACTATAAATGTTTCATTTCTATTTGTTTTCTTGATTTCTTTTCTTTTTGTGTGTTTCTTGACTTTCTCAGCCAGAGAAAAGTAATGCTACCATAGCAATAATACATTTAGATTCTAGTAGACTTGTTTTCTTACATTTCTGTTTTATATAAACAAGGCGAGTCATAGTGAAAGTACCTAGACTAACTATTCAAGCCTGATATGTTTATGGACTCTTTGTGGAAAAAAGGAAACTTTAAATCCTCTAAGCTACTAAAGATGTAGAAGGATAATCCAGTATTATTTGGTGATTCATGTAAAGAAGAAAAATAAAAGAAGGAGAAAAATCTGGTTGAAGCCACCTCTATTAGTCAACTTTATTTCAGATATTAATTAGTCTGCACTAAAATGACAGTGATAAGCCAATAAAATGATGACTTTGAAACGGGAATTCTTCAAAAATCTAGTAAAAAGAGTATCGACTCTTTCTTGTCTTCTTTTTCAAACTTACTGTTTAGCTCATCTTTATAGCATTCAAGAAAAGAATACTTGAGTAGAATAAAGAGCTATTTTTATCTTCAGAAAAAAAATTATTTAAGAAATATGGAAGTAACAAAATAGGCATGCCAGAGAACTGCCATTTGCCACTGCTTTTTGAGCAGCACGGTGGTATATGATCCATTTCTTAAACTGCCATGGTGAGTTAGAGTGCCTTGTTTCTCACAAGTTTTGTTTTATTAAAAAAATAGTTTCTTGTCTTCTTCTCTCTTCTAGGTTTTATCAGTTTGTTAACTGTCTTCCTAGCTGGACTAGGGAGCATGTGCTGATTGTATGTGAAAATGAACTCCTTGGGAATTTAGCGTTCTACTGAATTCTCTTGAACAAATAAATCTGGAGATGCTTTTCTTTGTGCAAAGTTGCATTTCTTTAAACAGGTAATCATCGTTATTAAACTTAGCAATTGGTAGAGTTATATATGTTTTAATTTCAAGGGCTTTAATGATTATTTTCTCTAACAACCAGATTTTAGAGACTCATAAGAAGCCACTTGATTTGCACATATCACACACAGAAAGGGTTCTTAGTGAGCCTTTCCATTCAACTACTTTCAAAAAAACTTAAATGTTTTATGCATTTTACAAATAACTTTTTCTCTTAAAGTCCAACCAAAGGGGTGTTTTGTGTATTTTTATCCTTTACATCCATTGAAATTACCTGTTCTGTATGATATAATGAAACATGGGTACTTATTTAAGCTAAAATATAGTTGCTAAAGTTGGGCCTCCCTGATGTTAAATGCTACCCCCTTCAGTAGTGACATTAATTAAAGAAAACTTGTTAATTTGTGAGTTATTCTAAAATACTTTCTCTCATAAAGAAGCTATGTTTCTCCTTCTAACTAGTATACTTAGGTTTTGCTTGGCAAGACTATGTGGAAAGAGGTCTTATGTCACCCCAGCTTAGCAGTGAAGAGCAGAAGGCACTACTGTGCCTCTCTTGGTCTTTTTAGGTAAACCACAGGCAAAATATGGAGCACATTTCAGAATAATGTTAATGCTCCAAAATTGCATAAGTCCTGGGCTCCAAAATTGCATAAGTCGTGGGGCTGTGACACAACCATCTTCCATGATTGTGTTTCAGTCTGACTGCAGTGTTGCTTTTGTCTTCGTAGGGTAAACTCTGTTGTTTCAACAGGTATCTAGACTTCAAATAATTGTTAAATGAGTGTTGTAATTGAAATAATCAGCCCTTGGAACTGCAATCATTATGAAAATTGTATGCTCTTTAAATTCTATGTAAAAATAGATTGTTTTAAAGAAAAAAAATTCATTTTAAAAACAGAAATGTGCTTGAACAACTTATTTTAATGGAATAAAGTTAAGCAACGAATCTTCATTCCACAGCTTTAACAAGTCTTCCAGCTTAAGGTAATCAACTACAGCAGATATTATTTTAAGATATTGAGGTAGCAAAGAGTCCTATCTACTTAGAGAATGTATGATTTATAATAGAATACCATGCACTAATATTGAACAGCATCAACCCATATGAAATCATTTTATTACAAATATAACCTAGGCAGTAGCATGGAAGAGAACTGATGAGAAATATAGTAGGAGTAATACACTAACGGATATGATCTCCAAATGTTTATTCTCTGTCTTACTTCTCACCTATGGGGCCGCTTTCACTCCCTAAGGGCTTCTCATAGACTGACAAAGACCTCAGCTCCTTAATGCAATGCCAGTAATACGGATTCATAGGAAAACTTCCCAGTGAATCTAGGGGGTAGAGTTTAGTGGAACAAAAAAGGGCGACCAGCTTTGGAAGCTGTAGTTAGGAATGGGGAGACAATAGGCAGAACTGGAGTTAGCCTGCAGATTTAGCGACTGTAGGTCAGAGATGGGGATGCAAAACCTGAAATACTGGTGATGCAGATTGAGTGAAGTCAGTTGATTTCAGAAATGCCTTGGAGATGTAACTGATAGGAGTAGAAGGTTATTGGCATGTGAGTTTAGGGAAGGAAGGCGGACATGTTGCCTGGTTTTCTAATTGTACAAGCGTAGTGAATCGTGATGCCATTTTTTGATACATAAGTTATTTGAGAGGAGGCAGATTATGAGTGTGTATGTTTTGTGTTTGTGTGTGTGTGTATGTGTACACTGTGAGTTGTGGGGTTGAAGATGCTGGTTTAGGTGACTGTGGGCCAGCCATGTGCCATTGGCTCAAAGTTTGAATATTTAAGGGTTAGGAGAAAGATCCTAACTAAGGAGCCGTTAGCATAAAGATACTGACAGAAGTGAGAAGGAGCTAAGCTAGTATTGCCCTGGAAGAATAAACAGAGTATGAAAAGGGTTCATGAATACCAACATTTATGATAGTCTATAGAAGAGCCAGAAAATTGAGCCTGCAAAAGGGGCCAGAGAAGCAACATATAACGAGTTAAGTACAAACCACAATATTGAGTAACAGGAAATTTAAAGGAAGAGAATGTTTCAAGAAAGGAACAGGTAAGACTGACAAATCTTACAGAAATCTCAAAGAAGTTAAAATTTAAAAGATTTATTGACTTTAGCCTAGAAGACTGGTTTTAACTTCTTCCAAATGCATGTTTTGAGTAAATAAACAGAGCAATGGAAGTATGGATAGTTCTGACGCACATGATATTCTGTTTCTTTCCTGGCTTTTTTTTTTTTTTTTTTTTTTTTTTGGAATTGAGTCTTCCTCTGTCGCCCAGGCTGGAGTGCAGTGGTGCGATCTTGGCTCACTGCAAGCTCCGCCTCCTGGGTTCACACCATTCTTATGCCGCAGCCTCCCTAGTAGCTGGGACTACAGGCGCCCGCCACCACACCCAGCTAATTTTGTTTTTGTATTTTTAGTAGAGACGGGGTTTCACCATGTTAGGCAGGATGGTCTCCATCTCCTGACCTCGTGATCCGCCCACCCCGGCCTCCCAAAGTGTTGAGATTACAGGCGTGAGCCACCTCACCCGGCCCGTTTCCTGGCTTTTTATGAAAATGATGTGTTCTTCTGGTTTGTCTTTGGTTAGCTTTTTTGTTTCTTTATTTGTAATTTAGTCTCGGGAACTTAAGATAAAGTTATCTGTATTATCTGCTATTCTTAACAGAAGGCCAATTTTTGAATGTGCTACAAAATAATCTACCTAAAGCAGGCAAGACAATATAAATCATTTTATTTTTGCTTATATAGATCCAGAACATAAATCCCTGAGATAATATCCTCATCCTAAAAGGAAGAGTAAAGTAATATAGCCTTCCAGCTTGGAAGAAAGGCAGTCTAGTTATCAAATAATATATGATCAATGATGATCTCCAACTCTAAAGTAAACTCAAACAGTGTGTATATTCAGATGAATTAAAACCATATATTCATTTAGTATATGTGATAAGTAGATGTGCATTTATAGAATTACTTTCTTCTGAAAAGGCAAAAAGACTCTTTTTATAATGTAAATAAATTAATGTTATTTTAAAAATGAAGATACTATATGCCTGAAGTTTTAATGTACTTTTAAAAATTGGATCAGAGTGTGAAATCAAATGTTAGTGATTAATATTATTATTATTATCGTAACTAATAATATTAATGCATGTGCTTAACAGTTCTCTCAGCTTCTTAAATGTTAAATTTTAAAGCAAATAACAAGTACAATGCAAAATTTACCAACACACCAATGTGATACATACTTTTACCTATTATTTTTTTTTAAAAGAGAGTATTGAAAAATTATCATTTTGGTTTAAGCATTTGAGCAAACAAAATAAAATTTCTGATTTTAAGATTTAAAATAATGTATGAGTAAAAACATTATTTTGGGAAAAATGAATTGTATTAAAAGAAATGCTGAAATTTTTTACAGTTGGACAAATTGCTATATTTTTGTGGCTTTATTAAAAATAGAAATAGTGATATCCACCCTCCATTAGGGGAAACATTCACTTGTTTATTCAAGAAATATTTTTCAAGTGTCTTCTTCATGCCAGGCACTATTTTCAGTACTTAAAATGTAACAATGGGTCAAAGAAACAAGTCTTGACTCTGAAAAAGCTCTCCTGTTGGGGAAGGTGGTTACAAACAATGAACAGCTAACATTATAAGTAAGACTAGATGGTAGTACAGTTATGGGAAAGAAGATAGAGCAGTGTGGTGGGGGTGGGGTGTGTATGTTGAAATCTGGGAGGTAAGGACATATTGTAATTTTTTTTAAATTTTATTTTATTATTATACTTTAAGTTTTAGGGTACATGTGCACAATGTGCAGGTTAGTTACATATGTATACATGTGCCATGCTGGTGTGCTGCACCCATTAACTTGTCATTTAGCATTAGTTATATCTCCTAAAGCTATCCGTCCCCCCTCCCCCCACCCCACAACAGTCCCCATACTGTGATGTTCCCCTTCCTGTGTCCGTGTGTTCTCATTGTTCAGTTCCCACCTATGAGTGAGAATATGCAGTGTTTGGTTTTTTGTTCTTGCGATAGTTTACTGAGAATGATGATTTCCAATTTCATCCATGTCCCTACAAAGGACATGAACTCATCATTTTTTATGGCTGCATAGTATATGTGCCACATTTTCTTAATCCAGTCTATCATTGTTGGACATTTGGGTTGGATCCAAGTCTTTGCTATTGTGAATAATGCCGCAATAAACATACGTGTGTATGTGTCTTTATAGCAGCATGATTTATAGTCCTTTGGGTATATACCCAGTAATGGGATGGCTGGGTCAAATGGTATTTCTAGTTCTAGATCCCTGAGGAATCCCCCCACTGACTTCCACAGGGGTTGAACTAGTTTACAGTCCCACCAAGAGTGTAAAAGTGTTCGTACTTCTCCATATCCTCTCCAGCACCTGTTGTTTCCTGATTTTTTAATGATTGCCATTCTAACTGGTGTGAGATGGTATCTCATTGTGGTTTTGATTTGCATTCCTCTGTTGGCCCGTGATGGTGAGCATTTTTTCACGTGTTTTTGGCTGCATAAATGTCTTCTTTTGAGAAGTGTCTGTTCATGTCCTTTGCCCACTTTTTGTTGGGGTTGTTTGTTTTTTTCTTGTAAATTTGTTTGAGTTCATTGTAGATTCTGGATATTAGCCCTTTGTCAGATGAGTAGGTTGCGAAAATTTTCTCCCATTTTGTAGGTTGCCTGTTCACTCTGATGGTAGTTTCTTTTGCTGTGCAGAGGCTCTTTAGTTTAATTAGATCCCATTTGTCAATTTTGGGTTTTGTTGCCATTGCTTTTGGTGTTTTAGACATGAAGTCCTTTCCCATGCCTATGTCCTGAATGGTAATGCCTAGGTTTTCTTCTGGGGTTTTTATGGTTTTAGGTCTAACGTTTAAGTCTTTAATCCATCTTGAATTAATGTTTGTATAAGGTGTAAGGAAGGGATCCAGTTTCAGCTTTCTACATAAGGCTAGCCAGTTTTCCCAGCACCATTTATTAAATAGGGAATCCTTTCCGCATTGCTTGTTTTTCTCAGGTTTGTCAAAGATCAGATAGTTGTAGATATGCGGCATTATTTCTGAGGGCTCTGTTCTGTTCCATTGATCTATATCTCTGTTTTGGTACCAGTACCATGCTGTTTTGGTTACTGTAGCCTTGTAGTATAGTTTGAAGTCAGGTAGCATGATGCCTCCAGCTTTGTTCTTTTGGCTTAGGATTGACTTGGCAGTGCGGGCTCTTTTTTGATTCCATATGAACTTTAAAGTAGTTTTTTCCAATTCTGTGAAGAAAGTCATTGGTAGCTTGATGGGGGATGGCATTGAATCTATAAATTACCTTGGGCAGTATGGCCATTTTCATGATATTGATTCTTCCTACCCATGAGCATGGAATGTTCTTCCATTTGTTTGTATCCTCTTTTATTTCCTTGAGCAGTGGTTTGTAGTTCTCCTTGAAGATATCCTTCACGTCCCTTGTAAGTTGGATTCCTAGGTATTTTATTCTCTTTGAAGCAATTGTGATTGGGAGTTCACTCATGATTTGGCTCTCTGTTTGTCTGTTATTGGTGTATAAGAATGCTTGTGATTTTTGCACATTGATTTTGTATCCTGAGACTTCGCTGAAGTTGCTTATCAGCTTGAGGAGATTTTGGGCTGAGACAGTGGGGTTTTCTAGGTATACAATCATGTCGTCTGCAAACAGGGACAATTTGACTTCCTCTTTTCCTAATTGAATACCCTTTATTTCCTTCTCCTGCCTAATTGCCCTGACCAGAACTTCCAACACTATGTTGAATAGGAGTGGTGAGAGAGGGCATCCCTGTCTTGTGCCAGTTTTCAAAGGAAATGCTTCCAGTTTTTGCCCATTCAGTATGATATTGGCTGTGGGTTTGTCATAGATAGCTCTTATTATTTTGAGATACGTCCCATCAATACCTAATTTATTGAGAGTTTTTAGCATGAAGGGTTATTGAATTTTGTCAACGGCCTTTTCTGCATCTATTGAGATAATCATGTGGTTTTTGTCTTTTGTTCTGTTTATATGCTGGATTACATTTATTGATTTGTGTATATTGAACCAGCCTTGCATCCCAGGGATGAAGCCCACTTGATCATAGTGGATAAGCTTTTTGATGTGCTGCTGGATTCGGTTTGCCAGTATTTTATTGAGGATTTTTGCATCAATGTTCATCAAGGATATTGGTCTTTTTTGGTTGTGTCTCTGCCCGGCTTTGGTATCAGGATGATGCTGGCCTCATAAAATGAGCTACAGAGGATTCCCTCTTTTTCTATTGATTGGAATAGTTTCAGAAGGAATGGTACCAGTTCCTCCTTGTACCTTTGGTAGAATTCGGCTGTGAATCCATCTGGTCCTGGACTCTTTTTGGTTGGTAAGCTATTGATTATTGCCACAATTTCAGAGCCTGTTATTGGTCTATTCAGAGAGTCAACTTCTTCCTGTTTTAGTCTTTGGAGAGTGTGTGTCAAGGAATTTATACGTTTCTTCTAGATTTTCTAGTTTATTTGCTTAGAGGTGTTTGTAGTATTCTCTGATGGTAGTTTGTATTTCTGTGGGATCGATAAAGAGGTGATATCCCCTTTATCATTTTTTATTGCATCTATATGATTCTTCTCTCTTTTCTTCTTTATTTGTCTTGCTAGCAGTCTATCAATTTTGTTGATCCTTTCAAAAAACCAGCTCCTGGATTCATTAATTTTTTGAAGGGCTTTTTATGTCTCTACTTCCTTCAGTTCTGCTCTGATTTTAGTTATTTCTTGCCTTCCGCTAGCTTTTGAATGTGTTTGCTCTTGCTTCTCTAGTTCTTTTAATTGTGATGTTAGGGTGTCAATTTTGGATCTTTCCTGCTTTCTCTTGTGGGCATTTAGTGCTATAAATTTCCCTCTACACACTGCTTTGAATGTGTCCCAGAGATTCTGGTATGCTGTGTCTTTGTTCTCATTGGTTTCAAAGAACATCTTTATTTCTGCCTTCATTTTGTTATGTACCCAGTAGTCATTCAGGAGCAGGTTGTTCAGTTTCCATGTAGTTGAGCGATTTTAAGTGAGTTTCTTAATGCTGAGTTCTAGTTTGATTGCACTGTGGTCTGAGAGACAGTTTGTTATAATTTCTGATCTTTTACATTTGCTGAGGAGAGCTTTACTTCCAACTATGTGGTCAATTTTGGAATAGATGTGGTGTGGTGCTGAAAAAAATGTATATTCTGTTGATTTGGGGTGGAGAGATCTGTAGATGTCTGTTAGGTCTGCCTAGTGCAGAGCTGAGTTCAATTCCTGGGTATCCTTGTTAACTTTCCGTCTCATTGATCTGTCTAATGTTGACAGTGGGGTGTTAAAGTCTCCCATTATTATTGTGTGGGAGTCTAAGTCTCTTTGTAGGTCACTCAGGACTTGCTTTATGAATCTGGGTGCTCCTGTGTTGGGTGCATATATATTTAGGATAGTTAGCTCTTCTTGTTGAATTGATCCCTTTACCATTATGTAATGGCCTTCTTTGTCTCTTTTGATCTTTGTTGGTTTAAAGTCTGTTTTATCCGAGACTAGGATTGCAACCCCTGCCTTTTTTTGTTTTCCATTTGCTTGGTAGATCTTCCTCCATCCTTTTATTTTGAGCCTATGTGTGTCTCTGCACGTGAGATGGGTTTCCTGAATACAGCACACTGATGGGTCTTGACTCTTTATCCGATTTGCCAGTCTGTGTCTTTTAATTGGAGCATTTAGTCCATTTACATTTAAAGTTAATATTGTTATGTGTGAATTTGATCCTGTCATTATGATATTAGCTGGTTATTTTGCTCGTTAGTTGATATAGTTTCTTCCTAGCCTCGATGGTCTTTACAATTTGGCATGATTTTGCAGTGGCTGGTACCGGTTGTTCCTTTCCATGTTTAGGGCTTCCTTCAGGAGCTCTTTTAGGGCAGGCCTGGTGGTGACAAAATCTCTCAGCATTTGCTTGTCTGTAAAGTATTTTATTTCTCCTTCACTTATGAAGCTTAGTTTGGCTGAATATGAAATTCTGGGTTGAAAATTCTTTTCTTTAAGAATGTTGAATATTGGCCCCCACTCTCTTCTGGCTTGTAGAGTTTCTGCCAAGAGATCCGCTGTTAGTCTGATGGGCTTCCCTTTGTGGATAACCCAACCTTTCTCTATGGCTGCCCTTAACATTTTTTCCTTCATTTCAACTTTGGTGAATCTGACAATTATGTGTCTTGGAGTTGCTCTTCTCGAGGAGTATCTTTGTGGCATTCTCTGTGTTTCCTGAATCTGAATGTTGGCCTGCCTTGCTAGGTTGGAATTGAGTAGTCTGAGTGGGCTTCATTGAGTTGATTTTTGAGCAAAGATGTGAAGAAGACGAGGGTATATTCTGAATAGGTATCTACTAGAAGAGCCAGGGTAAAGGCCCTGTGGTGGAAGCATGCCTGTCCATGGGTTGCAAGGAGTCACTGTGGCTAGATGGCAGTGAGCAAGAAGGGGAGAGGAGAAAGAGGAGAAGGAGGTTAAGACAGGGAGGGAATTGAGTCAGGTCACTTTAGAAACTTGTTTTGCTTCGAAGGACTTGCCCTTGACTCAGAGGCCATGGAGAGTCATTGGAAGCTTTTGAGTAGAGAAACTTGCTAGGAACTTGATTTCAGTGATGTTAATCGTTTTTTATGTTCTTTAGAGCACACTCTGTAAGGATGTAAGTCTAAACTTTTCTTTTTTAGCCTTTTCAACAGTAAGCTATACATAAAAGTTACAGTGTAGCCTACTGGCCATGAATAGAAGTGCTATGTGACTTTATGGTGTCCTGAAGTTTAAGGTATATTAGCTCTGCATATGTCCTGTTTCCAGAATCTTAAAAATTTAATTTTGGAGAATCAAGCTTTGTTTAAAATAATCACCTTAATATGTAGATGTGGAAAACTAACTTGCTTAAGTTTATTGAACCGGATTTACCAGAGCTAGAATTAGGGTTTAGGTCTCCTGACTATAAATGAGAATGAGAAGCAAGAACCAAAAAGTATCAACTGTGATCAGATTTGTATTCGGCACTTTACTTATTTTGTACCAAGCTAGGCTCAGTTTCCCCCACTTAAATGACATTGCTGCATCTTTTACACATTTCTTTGACCAGGTGTTAGTAGATCATTGCTTTTACTACTTAGTGTTACTTTTTAATTAGTATGTAAAAAAATCCATCCTCCTTTTCCTCCTTAGCACCAATTTAAAAAAAAATCTTGCTTTGTACTCACTTGAGAAATACTTGCAATCCATTACCAGCCTATGGTTTTTCCGTATCCTGTAACAGAGGTTGGCAAATTACCACCAGCAGGCCAAATCTGTCTTGTGGCTTGTTTGTGTCCACTATCCAATAGTGGTTTTTACACTTTTAAGTGGTTGGAAGGGTAGAAAAGAGAAGAATCATACTTTATGACCTGTTAAAATTATTTTAAAGTTGAAGGACAATAGTTTGAAAGTATTCATATGTTGACACATAGTTTATTGCATAGTTTGTATTTCAAATGTAAATTAATCATATAGTTAAATTTTGAAAGAGAATCACATATTACTGACTTAAGGACTTCCAAACTGTATAATGGAATCACATGTACAATTATGTATCTGTTTATGTGGAAACAGATAAACATATCTGTTTCATACTGTAATTCTAACCATATGTCTTTCTTAATTACTCTTTGTTCCTCAAAGTCTATGGTTTCTTTTTGAGTTGGTCAGCCCTCTGTTCTTTACTCATATTTACAAACTTATCATTATGTCTACATTCATAAGTTATTTAATAAAACTTATTTGAATTTATGATAAAGCAGAAGTAGAATGTATATTATACACATATTATGGAAACTTTGCACTTAGCATGCCTTAAGTGGATAAAAAAGCAAAAATTGGCTTCTTAGCCAATGTGAAATTTAGGTAAATCTTAAACTTTTGTTTTTTACTGCAGATATATTTTTAATTACTATCAGATATACCCTCTGTCTACCAAAATGATAGAGATGAAATGCAATAAACTTTGTATCTTTTCCCAAAACTGTAATGTGGTAAATTAACTTAATAAAAATTTAGTATGAAAAATGCAAGTAAACATTTCCAGACTTCACTAATTGTAAATGGAAACAAGATGCTAGAGTCTGTGAAACCCAAGAGGACTCTAAAGAAGACCAGCTTGGTAATTCAAGTAACAGAAGAGAAATAGATATGAAACAGCATTTCTACTTCAGGGTACACTGGAGAAAGAAAAAAGAAGGACTCCTTTATGCATCATTCCAAGAGAAATAGGGAGAAAAAAACTGTGTTTGAAGGAAAGGCTGTGATTTAATCAATAATGGACACCTTAGAAAGACTGATTCTTAGCACCAGGGTTAGGAATAATAAAATAATCTGCTCATAGAAGGCACAGCAAACATTGATTTCTTCTTTTTAAGAATATTTGTTTATATGATCAAATTTACTAAAATAAACCGTTAATTACAGTGTACATTTAAATAATGTACTTAGTTTACTAATGTATCAAACATAAACATTTTTAATTGTCCTTGTGGAAAAATATGTAATATGATGGAGATGGGGAAGTATAAAAAAAGCAAAGATTAAAAGAAAAAAGAATCATCTACAGCTATAAGCACAAAGGCTCCATCACAGGGATATCAAGCATGTTTCCCTTAGATTCTGTCATATGCGTTACTGTCTGCTTGAGTCCATCTGATCACAATGTATGCACAAGGAAACATGTCTATGATATGATCGTGTGTCTCTTTTGTGCTTTTTGCACCTGAATTGTCTGTACTAGAGAATTGCAAAACAAGTTTGAAATGAATTGTACCTCTTTTCCTCAGTTAGTTTTATTGTTATTGTTATTTAATTGTAGTAAACCTAAGAGCCTGTAATTCAGATAATTCCTGGAAAAGTATTTTGATCAGGCATATTGGTTTGGAATAGGTCTGAGCTTTGCATTCTCTAAAATTTTATTACATGCTTTACTTCTTCCATGAGATACTGGTAAGTGATGTTTGGTATTTCTGATAAGGTCTTAGAAATCCCAGTCCAATTAAATAATAAGGGAGTAAAGGTTTATGGAGGTCTGCAGTAGAGGATCACTATTGCTATGGTTTGAATGTATCCTCTATTAAGAGGGAGGACTTTTAAGAGATGATTAAGTCATGAGGGCACCTGCCTACACAAATGGGTTTAAAGCCCTTATAAAAGGTGTTGGCTTGTGGGGTTTTGTTTTGTTTTGTTTTGCCACTCACCATGTGAAAACACAGCATTTCTCCTCTCTGAGGATGCAGCAACAAGTCACCATCTTGGAAGCAGAGAGCAGCCTTCACCAGACAACCAAACCTGCTAGTGCCTTGATTTTGGACTTCGCAGCTTCTAGAACTGTGAGAAATAAATTTGTTTTAAATTACCCAGTCTCTGGTATTTTGTTATAGCAGCATAAAGTGAACTATGACAAAACAATGGCTACCTCCACTTATTCTATACTGATATATTTATTGCATTATATACTTTGACTTTCATAATAATTGTATGAAGTGAAATATGTTCATTTTATAAAGAAAAAAACTAAAAGCCTGGGTGAAACTTTCTTAACCAGGGTCACAAAGCTAATACACACCAGTTGGCTGTTGAACCCCAAACCATTTCACTATTTGGCTATTCTTTGACCACCAAGACACTTTTCTTTCTTTAACAAAGGTTATTGATGGTCTGTTTGCAAGATAGGCATTCATTTAGGTGTTGGAATAAAAATATAAATTACCCACAGCTGTTGCGCTTGTCTAGCTTCTGTCTTGTATGGGGTGAAAATAATTATAAGTAATTAGTCAATAAATAATTACATTAAAATTCAAATACTATAATGGATATATGTCAATGTACTAGTTAACACAGAGTAGGATTATCTATTACCTGAGACTGGCAAAGAAAGAATTCATAGGACGGATGCCCTATGAACTGCATCCTATTTTTAGGAAAAGAGGAGGAAGGTCATGACAGAGAAAATAACACATATAAATCCACCGAGTTGTGAAAGAAATGTTCTGGGAGTTATATTTCTTTGTGTCTGATGCCTGGGGAAAATAAATCTAAAATAATATCTGAAATAGAAACCAGTATTTCCAAAGGGAAAATACATTATGCTCTAATTTATTCACATATTAATTTTTAGTTTTGATAAAATTGCAATTAGAATAGCAATGGGATTGTTATTTAATATATTTTAAAAATATTCATCTAGGTCAGTATTCTTCAAAGTCTTTTTAAAAAATGCATTTGGACTTTTCTAAATAAATACTATGAGAAGATTTATGTTTACAATATATGGCATAATTTCCATGAGAAATATGTGGAATACAATCAGGAAGTCAGCAATACAGAATTATCTAAAACTTATTCATGTAAGTTTTACTGATATTTGTTTTATTTTTCTATGAGCAAAATAATTTTTCTTTGGGTATCCTCAATTGCTTTTTACAAGTCCATGTGATATATAGTAATCTATCTTATTGATACCTACGGATTTATTTAATTAAAATAGTTTTTTATTGGTAGCTGATGATACCTTCTGCAAAGAATGCCATATTTATCTTTTCATTTCTAACAGTGGCATATTTTATTTCTCTTTCATGATATATTGCATTAGCGTGAACTTCTAAAACTGTAGGTTTTTCTTCAATTGGTTAAAGGAGTTAAAAGTTGTGGTGAGAGAACTTTGCCCTTTTTCTACAACAAGAGTAGTTAAAAACAAATGCCTACCAGGGCCACACTGTAGCATAAATATGTGAACAGGGATGACTGTAAGAACACAGAAAATGGCAGAGCAAGAGAAATTGAGAATGTATTGTGTTAAAACACCATGCCAAACAAACACAACATAAGTTTGCATATGCAAGCTTGATGCAGGTAAAGGACTGATGGAGGTGATCCCAGTTGAGAAAGGGTATAGTACTCCTGAAGAGATTGCTCATTATAACCACAGCAGTGGGAGAAATATCACTGTGCTGTAAGAGCTGCTAAATTATTTGGTATCAATGGGTATTGATTGCAAAACAACATGGACCAATGAAAGTACAGGGATTTTGAATCTGAGTTCAAATTATAACTCAGTTCCTTACTAGTATTGTGATCTTGGACACGTAACTTATAGTATTAGTTTTCTAATTTATCCCATAACAAATTGCCAAAAACTTAGTGGCTTAAAATTACATTTATAATCTTACAGTTCTAGGTCAGTAGCCTGACATGGGTCTCATTGGTCTAAAATCAAGGTGTTGGCAGGAATGTGTTCCCTTTTAGAGGCTCCAGGAAAGAATCTTGGCTTTTGTAGCCTCAGAAGGCCATCTACCCACCTTCCTTAGCTTATGGCCCCTTCTGTCTTCAAGACCAGCGACAGCAGGGTTGAGCCCTTCTCCCATTGAATCCCTCTGACCTCTTCTGTAGCTACATTGCTTCGGAGTCTTATTTTTCTCTTTTACTTTTAAAGACTCTTATGATTACATTGAACCCACCTGGGTAATCCAAGGTTAATGTCACATTTCAAGGTCACCTGACTGGTAACCTTAATTCCTCCTTGCCATGTAACAGCATTCCCACATTCTGGAGATTCATATGTAGGCATTTTTCAAGAAGCCATTTTGTCTACTACATTATCTTTTAATTTCTTTCCTTATTTATAAAATGAGACTGTTCTGAAGATTAACAGCAAAAAAAAGATAAAGTATATTAAATGCCTTGTTTAATACCAGGCATATAGTCAGAATTCAATAAGTGTTATCTGATGTTGTTTCCTGCATTGCTTTTCCTATTACACCCTTAGTTTTTGGCTTATAGTTATCCTCTATTTTTAAAATCAATCTTCAGATATTTTTCAATGATTAAGAGTTTCATTCAGTATGTTGCTTTTACACTGATAAACATACAGGGTATAAGTTTAAATAAGCTTAAAAAATTAAATTGCTAATGTGTAGAATCCTTTAAAGCAGCTCCAGTTCTCTATCCTAGAGAACTGGCCCCTGTTCCCCTAATCTCTACACCAGGGTTTCCCAAGCCTGAGGAGGTATTCTGATGAATGCCTGGAGTACTTGGTAAACTGAAATCTCTGAGCCCCATACCAAGGATTTCTGACACGGTAGGACTGGGGAAAGACCTGAGAATTTGCATTTTTAACAAGTCATCAGTGTATGTCATCAGTGGATACTGATGGCTTTGGTCTGTGACCACAGTTTGAGAACCAGTGCTATAGAAATAATGGGGTTAATTTGGCTTTCTTCACATGTGCAGTTAAGCATATCTTTGTGGGTTTTTTTGGATGCTAGCTCTCCAAATACTGACAAAGTCTGCTTAGTGGTAGAAAATGTCAGTTTTAAGTGGTAATGCGTAAACATTTTTCTTTATCCCAGAATGCAAATCTACCCTCAAAAGCACTGTTATTTGAAGTGAAGCAAATTGTAACCATAGAGTAGATATCAAAACTTGTGTGCCTTTCTAACCAAAGAAGCGCATCTGAACAAGATTCATAGGGAGATTTTGGTTGTTTCCCATCTTTGTTCAGTCAGTTTAGCTGGCTATTTTTCAGTTTTGAAAATTGTAAAAATGGAATGGTTTTCCATCTGATTGTGTTACTGCTTCACAAATCAAGTGTCTTTTAATAATACTGTCCTGAAGTTACTAAATGTAGTGCCATTTTTTGCCACATGACATTTATGCAGTGCAAAGATACTTCATTATTATATAAGGCATGAAAAACAAAGTGTTAAATTAATAATATTGTTTGACACATCCTTGAAATTGTCCTTGAATTATGGTAGTATGAAATACCTAACAATTTGCATCATGTTTAAACTCAGATTGCTTTGATATAGGAATCTAGAATAAGTTTCTGAAACTTATTTCATCTCCATAAAGTATATTACGGTGGCAAAGGTCAAATTTTCTGTATTTATCTATGTGTTAAGAGGCTAAGACTTTAAAAGGAGGAAAAAGAGCCTAGAGATGTCTCACTAAAACCTTCAAATATGTTATTTAAAAGGTATCCCACAGGATCAATTGCTCTTTATTAAAAATATGATTTTTTAAAGAGGTTTAATGTCATTGCATTGATTGAACAACAATAGAGAATCAAATACATTGTTAAAGAAATTTGACCTTTAGGTCATTTAAACTGTAAGTCAGACATTCTATTTCAATACTTTGAACTAAGACTGTACTTAGATTTTATAAATTTGATTTGTGGCTCATTTTCTTGAAGAATAGCACATATAACAAATTGTATTTGGTGTAGTGTTAATAATGATTGAAATCTTAGTAAGACAATATAATTGGACATTTCTGGACCCTGAAACAGACACTGCTTCTAAAACTTTGCTGTGAACAAGAATTTCAAGTCCATTCTAGTGGTTTATAATGTCAGAGTCTTTAAGAATCACCTGGTATGCTTTTCAAACATGCAGGTCCAAGGGCCCTACCACTCAGAAATGATGACTTTCCATATCTTTAGTAGAACTTAGAAATGTTAATTTATAATATATATTTTAGATGGGTCTAATGCAAGTAGTTCAGAGACACCACTTCAAGAAGCACTGGTGCACGCTGTAGCCATAGTGACCATAGATTTGGTGGAAGTAAGAATGGATTGCTGAACATGGGATTCAGATGGAAAATGGAAGAAAGCCAATGCAGTAATAAGAAAGAAGAAAGGTCAGGAGCTTGAGGAAACAATTATACCAAGAGAAGGTATTTCATACTTTTAAATTTAAAAGTGCTAAAGTGGTATTTGCTAATTTTTAAGGAATTCTCAGTTTTCAAAGCTAGGTTCCACTAAATTATATAACATATACTTAATGTTAACTGACTATAGAGTGTGAAGGGGGAGAGTATTTCAAGCATATGAGGATGAATAAACAGTTTTTTCCTAAAAGTATTTGTAATTTAATATAGTAGGTTTCAAATGTTCTTGTTTCATCATTTTTATTTGAGGGGTATCTTACTTGTAATTCTAACATCAAAAGCAGAACCAGATGTCTAAAATCTTTGGTTTGATTTCTAACAGAGCTGAATCCCATGCCCTTTTATCCTCTGTTTCATGTATTCCACACTCTTCTAAAGTAGAGCATTCTTAAAGCATCACTATGGAAATTCTAGGATTCTTCAGCACACAAATTGAAAATGATTATTTTAGAAAGTTCTCAATACAAAATTGAGTATGCAGATAGAGATATTTTCACATGAAATGGGGAAATAATCTAGATTCACTTTTGTATTATTATATCCAAAGCGTATAGATGTAGACTTCAAAAAAATCTGTGAATTAACTGATATAAAATTTAGTATTTAATGTGCTGAAAGCCATGTGTGTATGACAAGAAACGAATCTTGGATAGCATCCATATTTATGAAAGAAATACAAAGAACCCCCAAAATGAGAACAGCCAACGAGTATACAGTGAAATAACTTTCAGTTTTGTGAAAGCTAGTGTAGTCAAGTGTCAAGAAGCAAGCTATCACAGAGCCAGAAATCTGAAGAATAATCTTTGTATTTAATTATACAGTCTGCTTCAATGAGAAAGCCTCCAGTAGAGATTTGAGTGAAGAAGCCATATCTCAGTGGGAAGACAAGTTAGTTGGAGATGATAAAAAATAGAAAGTAGGTAGGGAGTAGAAAATTGGATAAGAAGAGAATGTTTGGACAGTAGCCACAGGATAATCATGATCAGAAGGCTTTTTAAAAAATGAAAGAAACTACTTGAGCATATTTATAAAAGGCTAATGGAAAGGAGTAAATAGAAAGGGGATGTTAAAGATACAGAAGAAATTGATGACAGACGGAATGAGATCCAGGAAAAGCAAATAGTCAAATGCTTAGAGTTGGCCCTGAACAGCTAACGTCAGCTCATCTTCCAAGAATGACGGAAAGGAAGTAACAATAGAGAGGATGCACAGAGGTTTTTAGCTTGGTGACAAGAAGTTAAGGGCAATGGTGTCTAGTTTTGATGATTTGTCTTGATAAAGTTTGAAACCAAAAAGTGGCTATACTGTGGTTTGTGATGTTGAATTTACAGGTAAGAGGAACTTAGATGATCAACTGTGAGGTTGAAGGTAGATAAAAGTTTGGAAGTCCCTCTGAGGTGAAAGAGCAGACAGTGAAAGGAGGTTTTGGATTATCATCACGCTTGGGAGAAACTCTGCTTTTGCTCATGAAAGATTTGCTCATGAAAATGTGGAATACATGAAACAGAGGATAAAAGGGCATGGGATTCAGCTCTGTTAGAAAGATAACCACTGCAGTTGTCTTTCTGAGCAAGAGTTTTCGGACATGGTCTTCAGGGAAGACAGTACTGCTATTCCTGATAGATGAGAAACAAATGAGGTGCCCCCTACGTTCATCCCAATTCACAGCCTCTTGGTAGTATCTGGGCCTGGCAGAGGGAGAGGAACCTAAATAGGATCTAGCACTTTCACTTGATGGGAGGAGACTGAGATCAGAGCTGGGGAAGCTGAGGCAGTGAGACATTGTAGGGCAAGGAACTGGAGAGAAAGAAGATGCACAGAAAGAAACACCTCCAGAGATTAACAGAGGGATCATTTCAAATTGGAATATATATCAGGTAAAACTTTAAGAGGCAGGATAGAAATCCACTGAAAAGCAGTAGGACAAAAAAATTCTCAAAATTCACCCAGATCTGGGAACTAGTTGGCACTCCCATCAGCCAGGCTAGAAAACCTTCATAATACACAAAGTATTGGATAGAGTGTTCAAAAAGATACTGCCTTATTAGTGGGACTAAATTGGCTTTACTCTGAAGGCTACACTAACAAAGCTTTAAATTAATCTTTGTGAGAATTAGATTAATTTACACATAACAGTGTGCACCCCTCAAAAGCTTGATATTCTTTAAAGGAATACAACAATATCCAGCATCAAACAATATAAAATCTGCGTGCAAAGAAGCAGAATAACATGAACTGTAGCTAGTGGTGGGAAACAATCCATGGAAACATACCTGCAAAAGGTAGAGATGACCGGACTAGCAAAGATGTTAAACAGCTATTAAAAATATGTGCTGTGTGCTCAAGAGAGAGGAAAATATGAACATAATAAGGAGAGAAATGGAAGGTACACAAATGAACCAAATGGAACTTCTAGAGATAGTTCCTATACAAATCATAGCAATAGAAATTATTGAAAATGAAACACAAACAGAAAAAAATGTGAAAAAAGATTAATATAAGCTCAGTGCACTGTGGGGCAGTATCAAGTAGTCTGACATGTAATTGGGTTTCACAGCAAAAGAGAAGGAGAACAAAAATATTTGGAAAAGTAATGGCCAAATATTTTCTAAATTTGATGAAAACTATAAACGCACAGTTCGAAGAGCACAATGAACCCCAAGCAGAGTAAATGTAAAGAAAACAACACCATGACGTCACCTAGTAGAGTGGCTGAATACTGGTGTTAGGAGAAAATTTTAAAAGCAGTTAGAGAAAAAAGACAGGATCACCACTGGCTGCTGTGGGGAGGGTGCATAATAGAGGCAGGGCAAGAGCCCAGTCTTTACCCTGGGTTTGGTTACAGAGACAACAGCTTTTAAAAGTAGGTGATTCTGGGTCCCGTACAGAAAGGGATTTAACAACAGTAGGATCTTCCAGAGGGCTCGTGGATCACGGTTCGAACAAGGCAGGGGAAGGAGTCATAAGATTAAGTAGAACTTTCTGGTGCCCAGGATTAAGGATTGAGGTCATAAAGAATGACCTCAATATTTCTAACTTTCCTATGACATTTCTTTCTTATTTATTTATTTATTTATTTTGGAGACTTTTTTTTGAGACAGCGTATTACTCTGTTGCCCAGGCAACAGTGCAGTGTCACAATCTAGGCTCATTGCAAGCCTCCCGGGTTCAAGGAATTCTCCTGTCTCAGCCTCCCAAGCAGCTGGGACGGCAGGCACACGCCACCATGCTCAGCTAATTTTTGTATTTTTAGTAAAGATGGAGTTTCACCAAGCCAGGCTGGTCTCCACCTCCTGACCTTGTGATCCACCTGCCTTGGCCTCCCAAAGTGCTGGGATTACAGGCATGAGCCACCACGCCCAGCCTTTTTTTTTTTTTTTAGACAGAGTCTTGCTCTGTCACCCAGACTGGAGTGCAGTGGTGCAATCTCAGCTCACTGCAACCTAAACCTCCCAGGTTCAAGCGATTCTTCTGTCTCAGCCTCCAAAGTAGCTGGGATTACAAGCACCCGTGACCGTGCCTGGCTAATTTTTGTATTTTTAGTAGAGACAGGGTTTCACCATGTTGGCCAGGCTGGTCTCAAACTCCTGACCTCAGGTGACCCGCCTGCCTTGGCCTCCCAAAGTGCTGGAATTACAGGCGCAAGCCACCACGCCTGGCCTCCTATGACATTTCGATATAACTGGCTCAGATTCTCAGATCATGACCAGCGTGGCCTGAGAACATTAGAATTTGCTACAACATTTGCAAAGGGATGGCAAAAGTCAGTTTTTATCTGTTTTTGTGTAATTTGGGTAAGAAGACAACAGTATTCCTCTTAGTATATTGTGTATGTATAGGAGAGTATTGGTATGTAAACTGAGAAATAATAAGGTCTCCATTTGTTTCATTCAACTTTATATTCTTTTTGTGTAACACAATGCTAGCCCATAACTTGAGACTTAAGGTATTTAATGAACTTCTGTATACTCAGTTTTAATTGGTGGCAGTTCTTTAATACCAGAAACAAATTAAAGTTTTTAAAGTTGACAACAGACCCCACATACTTCCCAGTCAAGCATAGTAAGAATGACATGAAGTTTTATTAAGTAATTGTATAGTAGAGCCCTACAGAAATTTGCACTCTAGTTTCCTTAGCTTTACAGGGAAGGTGACGCTTCTGACCTACTTTGTATGCATTATGAACATTAATTATAAAACATCATGTACTTTAAAAAATGTCCTATAAATGCATCTTTTCTGTAAATATCATGCAGATTTTAAAAAGGAGGTCATCTTGTTTTTGTCTTCCAAACTCCAGTGAAACAGAGAATAACCTTTAGGAGTTTTGCTGCAAAGTAGAAACATTCATTCTTGCATTGGACACTTTTCATTGAGTGAACATTTGAAGCAGGGTACCACATGAGATCGAGTTGTAGAAGAGAGAATTTCTGTCCTCTCAGAACAAACACACATGGGTCAGTATCTATAAACAAATCAGTATGTGAAAAGTATCATGTGATTAGTCCAGGATATGTGCCCTGATTGTGAAGGGTGGCTGGGGGCCAGGGTGCTGAGCATGGAGGTGGAAATCAAATCTACATAATGTGGAAAAGATGACCAGGATGAAAGGCATTTGAATTGTTAGTACTTACCCTGGTGACAGCAGGAGAGAGACATCATAGTCACAGGCATTGGCATTTAAAAGGTGCTTTGGGAATTGAGAGATGGGCATTTTCTGTGAATTACAGAAGTCCAAATTGAGTAGGAGTTGGGCTTTGTTTTGGAACAGAAATTGAGAACATAAGAGGCTGAATGGAGCCAGACTGTGAAGAGCTGTGAATGCCAGCCTAATAAGTTTGAGCTGTATCCAGTTTTTGAAAAAGAGAGAGAGAAACAGAGAGAACCTCAAATTTTAACCTGCAATAAATACCTTCAGAGTCTTGCTTCAGGGAAATTTAATTTTTTGCCATATGTAGGCCACATGGAGTCAGGCAGACTTGTTAGTGGGTCATTGTGGTAGTCTAGGTATAGTGAGCTAATGGCCTAAAAGTGAAATACAATGCAAAAGAAAAATGAAGAATAGATACCAGAAAGATTCTTAGGAACTGGTGATAACATACTACAAATTGAGTGGATCTTTGGCTAAATTGCTGCTTTGTGGCTCCTTTCAAGGGCAGTTTATTTCTAACTACTAAACCTATTTTCTTAATATAATAAATGCTCTTGATTTTAATTTTAGTATGAATATGTGCATTGCTTCTATTTATATTATTTTTCGGTCTGTATACTTGTATCTGAAAATGATAGTTTAGGAATGGTCATATTTTATAGATTGGGCCATTGAAAATTATTTAATTTACCAGACAATGTTTAGGAATTTATAGTGTTAATGACTTACATATAAAAGTTCATGCTTTCTAAAAAGCCCTCTCTTTCCCCCAGCATTATTACTTCTGAGATATGAGAAGGAAGAATTACCTTACATTTGGCTTTATAACTGAGAAATTCTTCTCATACATCAAAAATGTACTAATTGTATTTTGAGCTCTCCTAAATCACTTTTGCTCCTTGGTTTATATATATTTCTGAGTCTTGTTTGTTGACTAGAATGGACTCTATTTCAGAGCTTCTGCTTTTTGTTTCTGTGTCACCTTGTCATTTTCTAAATTGATTGGGGCACCCTTGGGGGAAGTGGTCTGTGAAGGACAAGTGTGCACCAAGGACTCTGTAGGCAGGGCAGGAAAGGAGTGAGCCTTGGGGGCGAGCACAAGTCAAACACAAGCTGGGTTCTTCCTGTCCTCACCTTCCTGGAGAAATCAGGACACTTTGCTGCGGGAAAGCATGACCTGTTTTAACCCTTTGTGGTGGGGGTGTTTTGTTGCAATACTGCTGTGGGAAGGCACCACCCTTTCTTGTTTTCCACATAGGACTCATATATTCATATTTTTTATACTTATTCTGCCCTCTAATCTCTTTCTGCAGCCATCTCATTCATTTTCATCCCAACTACCATTCCGTTTTGTACACTTATAGCTATATTATTGCCTCTTTATCTCACAAGTTGTGGTATGATAAATAAGTGATGTTTGTACACTGTTTTTGCAAAAAAGCTCACAGTGCTTTCTGGGGGTATCTACTAATTAATCTTTACAGAATCCCTATGAGATAGATAGGGCTGGATAGGGTATTCAGCACACAATTCACTAGACCATGCTGTCTCTCTATTATGATAAAGGATTATTATTATGTTAAAATGTTTATACACTGAATACATAAATTTGTAGAGATTGATGTAAACCGAATCCCTTGGCAAAAATATGAACATGCCTGTAGCATAAAATTGCAATTGTGAAGCAGGTTTTATCAACTTCTGGTGTTTAAAGAATTATTCCAGATTTGCACATTAAACCTCTGTTGGATAGCTTGTTTTCGTTATCTTGCCTCTTGGGGAATGACAGGGAGCAGTGAGCTACTGAACTTCTGGGATTTCAGCAAGTGACAAACTCAGATTCTTGATAGCGTTATTTAAAAAGTATAGCAAGCTCCTCTGGCTTGTGTGTGACTCATCTACATGTATATAATAGCTTGATTGACTTATATAATTAGTACTTTTATGTTTATATACTGATAATATTTGTGGAAATCTAGTCAGGTATTTTATGCTTTTGCAGAGTTTGATGTGGATTAGCTGCATTGCCTTTTCTACAAAAGCAAACACCCTGAAGAGTTGTCTCCTTTAGGGAGGGAGCTTCACTCTTTTCAGTCAACAGCCATGTATAGTCCTAAGATGCTTTAGTAGTGTTTCCCCCACCGTAGCATATGGATTCACTGGGGAAAAACACAAATAAACCAGGCAGCAGAAAAGAAAAGCTAGAGAATCAGTTCTTTGCTAATCTTATGCTATCACTTCCTTCTTTTTTTTTCTCTCAATGAGTCCATGTTGCTTTTCTCTCTTTACCTTCCCTTTAATTTCTTTTAGCTGTTGAACATGTCAAAAACTGCAGCTGCTCATGAACTCCTATTTCAGCTAAATACGTAAAGATAGATTAATTCTGATAGGGATTCATGGAAGTTGAAAGAAACTTGAGTTTGTGTATAAGTATATGGCCACTGGCTTGCACCTCTCTGCCTTCTATTAGGATTCCAAGAGAGAGGGATGTAGAGTGGGTTTGGAATTGGTGGGATGGTAAGTGCAGAGATAGGGGGTTTTAATTCCTAGGCACAGGGGGCTCCAGGAAGATAGGAAGTTCTCTAATCACCGAGGTACAGTTCTGCTTCCAGGGAAGGATTTATGGAAAGTAACAAAATATGTATACAGTCCCTGATTCTAGACTACTGAGTGCCAGGCATAGGGGTGTTCTTGGAGGTTTCTAAGACAGAGAATAGGGTGATAAAAGTGAAACAATGGGAAAACTAACTTATCAACTTAAACTCCCTGGTTGGCTCCTGAACTCTCTTCCTTCAGCCTTTGCCCCTTTCACATTCATTTGGAGGAATATTTGAGGGGAGAAAAAGGAGTGCGGGAAGGATAATTATATTCTTCCTAAAATATGCGTAAGATACAGATCATTTTTGGATAAGTGAAACCTAAAAATTGTTTTCTTTACCATTAGACCCTAAAGCTCAATCAGCACCTCCTGCCTTCGCTTTATTTGGAGAAGTCCACATCTGGCTGGCCCTGTTCTCAGATACTGGCCTTGCCTGCTTGGTCTTGGCCTGCCCTTTGATTCCTGACCTGCTCTGCAGGGTTCAGCAGAGTGGATCATGTTACAGGGGTCAGCAGGATATCAAACTGCCTTTCTGTACTGATGTAGAGAAATAGTTACTGCTTTGTGCTATAATATGACCCAATGTTTGCAAATACAGATTTCTTTCTCTTCTATAATCTTCTTAAAGGGTCAAAATAAGAAATCACTATCACCTAGATTTTTTTTTCCTAAAAAGTTTGATTCGATTAACTGGGAAGTTATTTTTTTAAAAATAATTACTCAAAGAATATGCTACAAAAAGTATAAAAATAGACTTTAAAAATATTCGAAGTCCCAAACATCTAACATAACTACAATTAATTTATTAGCATTTTCCAGATTTTTCTAAATATATGTTTCACATACTGTGTGTGCTCTAACATATTCTGTTTGAAAATTTAAATGTTTTAATTGAATATGTTTTCCCACTTTATTTTGATATTGTTTTTGTGAACATAATTTTCAAAGCCTGGAACATATGCTTAAGAAATTATTATAGTTGACCAAGTTATTCTCCTAATGATTCCATACTTTTTCTCTTAAATTTTATATATATCTTTAAAAACACATTTTATATTATTTCCATAAACTTAATTTCCCAAAGGTGCCTTTTGAACACAGAAAGTATGGCCAATGGGCTGTATTGTTAAGTTGCTTTCTGAAAGCATCATGCAAGTTACCTTTGAAGCTTCTGTGTTATTAGATAATAGTATTTTCTTTGATAAACTTTCCTGATAGGATAGTCACAAGGAGGAGAAGGATAGTGATAATTTTCTTGCTACTGAGATCATATAGGAACAGTATTTTAAAATGTATTCACTGACATTGAGAAGCTACTAGGAGCTCATTATTGTGTTAAGTGCCAGCCTCCCAGGGATGAGTATGCAGAACTCTGTCCCTAACTTTACAGGTCCTGAGGAGAGTCTGGCGTAGGATACCTGGTTACCAAGAAGCTTGATGAGTGCTGTCCTGGAGTTTTGAGTTGAGAGCTGGAGGAGGAGATATTAAGTTTGATAAGGAAATAGAGTAGTTTAACTCAAGCTGTGTTTTCAGATTTAGGAGATGGGGAAGAGGTTAATTTTGTTTCTGTTGATATTATTCATACATGCATGAATTTAAAAAATTGATGCTAATAAAGGAAAACATCAAAAACCCTTAACACAATTCATATACACACATGCATGTCCAATGGGTCTGTTCTAGTAAGTCAGTGATTAACAAAGACTTTACTGCCTGATGATAGGCTTTTCCAGGCTGATGGCAACTATTATTTATAAATATGCTGTCATTGAGATGGGAAATGGCTTGGGATGGAATGTGAGGAGTTGTTAATAATAAGGGCGTTAGCTGTGATCCACGAATACTTTCTTCCACTCAGTACATTAAAATTTTGGAGGTAAACATGTAGCAAAAATTGTATGGCTACTTTTGTCAAAATTAAAATAGATAATATTTTAATCTTCACTTTGGGGATACATTATTTGCATTCCCCATTAAGCCTAACTTTCTGAAATAATGCTTCAAAAGACACTTGGTAAGAGTGTTTTCTTCCAGTGGCTTCACGTTAAAAAAGGGAAAAAAGAACGGCTCTTTGGTTAACGTCTGGAGTATATGTCTACTTGGCTTCCAACTTCATTGATCCCTGTTGAAGTAGCTGCTGCCATAACAGATTTACCTGATAAGCAATTCTGCAGTTAGCTGAGGAAAGCCATTCATTGGGGAATGAGTCCAGTTATTTTGTGTTTTTAATTAAAGGTATCTAATGCTGGAGTGCCTGTTGTTTTTCCATTTTCTTAAACATCACAAATCAATATTTTTTTAAACTTCTCTTAATCTAGGGGCTGACTTATGTTAATTTTTTGTTGTTGTTAATTAGAATCAAGCTGTAACACATTCACAGAACAGGCATACATGCTAAACAATTTTTCCAGACATCTTTTTTTTTTTTTTTAATTTAACCTCAGTAGAAATTTGGGGGACTTGTTCTCCCAGGGATTTGTATGATTTCCAGCTCTGTTACAGTCAACTTCTAATGGCTCACAGTCTGAGCCTCTACATAAGTGCTTAGGCTGTATCTCAGAGTGATTAATGACTGAGTAGGAAAGCTAAACACACAGCACTTTGTGAACTAAAGACCAGATCAAACCAGTCTGGATTCTACCCCCATCCCTGGCCTCTTTGCTCAGGACCCCATCCTGGACTGTTATTACTGATTAAAAATCATCTCTCTTTTGATGTCTGAATGTGTTGGAGTGTAACAAGAGCACTGACCTGAAATGAGGAGGTTGGTATTTGAACCGAACTTGAACATTGTCTCTAATACATTTTATCTTATTGGATGTGTCTCATTATCATAGCCTGTTAAGAATTTTTTATAGTAAGTTTTTCAGACAGTGCATTCGATGTTTTTTATAGTCTTGTGTGTTTGAGAAGTATTAGTTAGTTATGTTATCTTTCAAGTGTTTGATAATAATATTAAATAATAAGTAGACTAAATCTAAAGACCAAGCCCAGTGGCCTTGTGCAGGATGGCATCTTTCTGGTTGATAACAATGCATTAGTCAATTTTTTTCCAGTATAGAGGTTAGACTAGTCATAAAGTGACATTACTTTGTTATTATCCAGCTCTCATTTCTGCACCTTGCCCATAAGTGGAGGGTGAGAGATTCTTTCAAATGCTTTATTGAAATGTAGACATATTAAGACCTGGCCAGGTGCAGTGGCTCACGCCTGTAATCCCAGCACTTTGGGAGGCCAAGGTGGGCAGATCACAAAGTCGGGATTTCAAGACCAGTCTGGCAAACAGAGTGAAACACTGTCTCTACTAAAAATACAAAAAATTACCTGGGCGTGGTGGTGTGCACCTGTAATCCCAGCTACTTGGGAGGCTGAGGCAGGAGAATCGCATGAACCCAGGAAGCGGAGGTTGCAAGAAGCTAAGATCACGCCATTGCACTCCAGCCCAGGCTACAGTGCGAGACTCCGTCTCAAATAAATAAATAAATAAATAAATAAATAAATAAATAAATAAATAAATAAAAAACACAAAAACACCTGCATTGTTTCCTTTACCTATTTTTATGGTACTACTAGCTTTTTTGGGAAAAGAGCCAGAAAGTATTCATTTAAAATGTCAATAGAATTTCACCAATAATTTGGAAACACTGATTTGTAGGTTTTTTCTTTTAAAACAAACTCAATTTATTCCATTTAAAAAATATTTGGACTGTATTTGTTCTCATGTTCTCATATCATGCCCATTTTTGTCAGTATTAGCAAATAGCAAATTAGATTATTCAGCCCCTCATTCAACAAACAGTTTTAAGTACCTCAGATGGGCCAGGTACTTCTGCAAATTTTCTCCATACCTTAGGATATTCTTTGTTTGGACTAGAAGACTAGAATTAATTCAAGACAGCTATTCAAACCTAAGCCATTTGCTGAGGTCGATTCATAAATCATGTTAAAATGTTAGTCTAACCTCACATAAATTAATATGCGTCCTTTCCCCAACCTTCACTTCTTTGGCCAGGAGATGAAAGCTCAACATGGACTTCCCACCCCAGGTATTGATCTCCTTTCAGAATCTGCCTCTGTATTACTGTTTCGAGAGTCAGGGTCAGCAGGAATATTGTTTTGGGAGAACAGGTCACATATTGCATTAGAGTAACATATGATTATTTTCTGACCTCTCTTCTCTTTAACTTAATTCTCAGTGTTTTGACAGAGCTCTTGCATGCCTGTTCCCTAATAAAGGACAAAAGACAATCATTTTCTTATGACAGTTTCGTATTTTATCTCAATCTAACAGCAGCATGAATTGATAACTACTTGTACAAGTAATGTTATTTTATTTGGTTCAATGTACTATGACTGACTTTTATTTAAAAGACCCGTTCTGCAAATTACCTTGGTTTATACTTAATAGGTAGTTTTTATAAGCTTAGCTCCAAGTTAAACGTTCAATGTTTGTTTTATTGAATTACTTTCTATATGAACTTGAGTAGACAGCTGTTTTCATGTTAGTGAGACTTTTTTTTTTTTCTTTCAGACTGACACTGTTGTGCCAAGCTATAAGGAGTAGATTCTTCAGGCAGAGGTCACTCATTGTCTTTCAGTTAGAGATTTAGAAAAACTTTTCTAAGCTAGTGCTCCTGTGGTATTGCATGCTACAAAGTGGGGAGGCCCTTTGGGACATGGTCAAGTCTTTTTAAAGATCAAATCCTCAATTTTTGGAAGAGTATATATATCTCATATACACAGTTTCTTAAAATTTAGGGTTTGTTGAGACACATGGAAAAAAATTTAAATGCCACTGTTGAGTAATTTTATGCTGTATACTTTTTCAGGGAATAGTCTTGAACTCATCGGTGCCCACAACTTAGAGAAATAATATTTGGGGAACATTATTTGAAAGATACGCAACTCCTTCTATGTTTCTTCATTTTCTAAAAATCTATCCCCAAATCAAGCCAGATCTACAGAGACTGGCACAAGGAAGAATCAGTTTACCTCCCAATGGAATTGTTTTACTGAATCACATTACACTGGGAGCTGCTTGCTGCATTTATTGCCAGAAAGCTTAAAGCCAGTTTATGGCTCTCTAATAAGAAATATATAAATGTTTATGGTAAACATGTTTGAGCTTTATTTCTGGCTCTAATTGATGGCTTTATTCCCATTTTTCTTTCTTCTTTCTGTCCAGTTTTACACTTCTGGAATTTTCTTGTGGTTAATATATCCTTTCAGCTTCCTTTAGTCTTTTCTAGAATGGAGGCAGAATCTAAATAAACAAATACAAAACATCTGCAGTAGAAAAGGATAATGAGAAAAGAATGATTTTTTCTTTGAACTTCTGTTCTGTGGTCAAAGACAATATTTCTGCTTTCTTAAATAAAATAGCCTGGTAAATGCTATTAGTAGACAAATAAAGAAATTTGTATTTAAATTACTTACAGATACCATAAAACTTTATATGTGTTGCCTCAAGTAGAATCTTATGCTCTTGTTGTTGAATAATTTAGTATATTGGCATTTATAGTTAAGACATCCTATTTTAACATGATTTTAATAGTGAATCACTTAATATTTAATTAAATAGTTAATGTTACCTTATGTGCATACTTAAAATTTTTTTTAAAGTTTACATATATCATCATACTGATAGGAAAAGTCTATAAAGTAGGCAAGGTTTATATATTACCCCCATTTAAAAGGCATGGTTGGGTTATGACTTGCCAAAAAACAAAAGGCAAAAAATATATCATGTGGCAAAGAAAAATAAGACATTAAATTTTGAAAGAACCTTATGAGTCAGACATAATTCATCAAGTACAGTTTGCCTTTTAGTTTTATGAAATATTAATACTGAAAGGGACCTTAGAAAGTATTTTGTCCAGCCTTCTGATTTTATGAGTGAAAACAACCAACTAATTTTAGAACATTCAAACAAGTATTAGAACCTCTACTCAATGGAACCATATTTATCCCCTGTATAACTTCAAATAGAGTTGAGTAGTCTAATGTATATTCCCAAATACGAACATTAAGAACTTTAACACCTGGTTCAGTGTTTTGACCCTTTTAACCTCTCATTACTGTAACCATTATTAAAACTAAACTGTACTGTCTTCAGTTAGCAATTGATTAGCTCTTTTTTCTTTAGAGCCAAATAGACCCCAAATGAAAATCTTGCCACAGGCCCTTGAACTCTTTCTTTTACTCTTCCCATGTAACATTATGGAGTTTGCCGGTTGGTTATAAATAGATAAATAAACAAAAACAGAGCCAAACAAATAAATGTAAATAGATTAACATATCAGGGCTCTGAACACTCAGCTTCACATAGAAAAAGGTAAACAAACATAGATAAGTAATATTTGCAGCATTGTTTATAACATAAGAGCTTGAGTCAGAATCCTTTGAGTTCAAATCCTCATTCTCTCTCATTTCCTGTAAGCTTGGTCAAGTGAGTCAGTAACTGTAGCTTTGTGTCTTTATCTGTAAAATAGGGATGATACCTATATCATAAGTGTTATGTTATGATTAAAATGAAAGTGTGTGTTGTACAGTGCTAGTGAAGTATAAGGAAATATGCATGGTAAGTGTTCATTCTAACATTTGGTATATTGCAATCGCACAGATTTATTTTTTTCTTCTCTTTGGAAACAGGAGCATAACTTGCTTATCCTATAATTGAATTATATTATTATAAGGTGTTTTCAAACAGGATTCTATTGAATGATTTTAGTTATCAGACCTCACCAGCACCAAAAAGGCCATTTTAATTTATATTGTTTTTTTGGTTAGCTGAGGCCAGAAATTTGTCTTCTGAATTTTTTCTTGATAATCTAAAATGGTTCAAACAGACATTAATTTTAGCCAGACTTTCACCATTTCAGTTTGTACTCTCCTGTAATCTGGTCTACAAATTAAATATTGAGACAACATACTTGTCACTTTTTGGAGGCATTTCTAAACCATTTGTTTGGATACAGAGTAAAAATACTTTTAAGTTTATTTATATAGTGATCAATGGAACAACCTGAGTTTTTAAATCTGGGTGTGAATGCTGATGATTGCTTCTGTAGATCATTTGCTCAAGGAGCTGTGATATAATTTTAAATTTAATTCATGAAATTGTAGATCCCGGAAAGTAGTTTATTATGAGACGCATAGTAAATTTTAAAATGCCCTCAATAGTATTTTCACAGTATGTTTTTAATAATTACTAAGTTGTCTTCATAGGCCCATAATAGACTTAGCAAAACACTGGTTTATATTTGTAGTTTTCTGAATTTTAGAGAATGTGAGGGTTTTTAAGTGCTGGAAGATGGAATTTAGTTTGTCAGGGAAAAATTCTAGGCAGAGCAAGTAAACCCTGTATTCTGTGTTGTAGGAATGCAGTTCTTTCAGGAAATTTAAGGCAGTAACAACAAAGCAACAATAATTTAGTGTTATAATTTTAAAACCTATTGTTTCTTTGAAGTGGTGGGTCATTATTTAGACTTGCTATTCTATTGGCAAATATTCATTTTAATCATATTGTAAAGGTATAATTTAAATATTTTGAAGAGGAAAAATCTGTACCTTGCATAACAGAGTCTTGATCCTTTAGGGCTGTTAGTCTAGTAGATTCTGTTGTTTTCACTCTTACCATATTAATAAATTCAATGAAATATGTTCATTAATAATAAAAAGGCACATCGCTTATCTCTGTATGTATGTATTTGGTGAAAAGGGGGAGTATAACTTTATAAGAGTTTTCATTTTGCTTGCTGAACAACTAACTGTTTGATTTTGATAGTGAGGAGAAAGCATGTAAAATTCATACTATTCAGGTGCTTTTGAGACATTACAGTGATAAATTGCGACTTATGCACTGACTAATTTTCCATGTATCCTTTACTGGAATGTTTCTTATTAGGAAGTCCATGAGTGTACTCAATGGAGATAACCCTAGACATTTCATTCCTGAATCTCAAATGAAAGGACTCTTGGCCCAGGACACTTACACGTTTTCGTCTGGAGTTCAATCTTGAGGTGATTGTAGCAGAAGATGTTGCATCTTAGACTGTATGTCTGATGGAGTTTTGGAGATTCGGGTTCATAATGTGGGGACAGTGGATCTCAGTAGGTTGTTTAGTTTTGAGCTTCAAAGGCTTGTAAACTCAATTTTACATAGGAAGGAGGATAGATGCTTTTCATAGAATGGGTATAGGACTTTGCAAAGATTAAGTGTCACTGCTTTCTGTAAACAGTTGATAGTTATACAAAATAAAGTCCATCTTTTTTTTTCTTTTTTTATTATACTTTAAGTTCTAGGGTACATGTGCACAAAGTGCAGGTTTGTTACATATGTATACATGTGCCATATTGGTGTGCTGCACCCATTAACTCATCATTTACATTAGGTATTTCTCCTAATGCTATCCCTCCCCACTCCCCCGACCCCGCGACAGGACAGGCCCCAGTGTGTGCTGTTCCCCACCCTGTGTCCAAGTGTTCTCATTGTTCAATTCCTACCTATGAGTGAGAACATGCAGTGTTTGGTTTTCTATCCTTGCGATAGTCAGAATGATGGTTTCTAGCTTCATCCATGTCCCTACAAAGGACATGAACTCATCCTTTTTTATAGCTGCATAGTATTCAATGGTGTATATGTGCCACATTTTCTTAATCCAGTCTATCATTGATGGACATTTGGGTTGGTTCCAAGTCTTTGCTATTGTGAATAGTGCCACAATAAACATACGTGTCCGTGTGTCTTTATAGCAGCATGATTAATAATCCTTCGGGTATATGCTCAGTAATGGGATGGCTGGGTCAAATGGTATTTCTAGTTCTAGATCCTTGAGGAATCACCACACTGTCTTCCACAATGGTTGAACTAGTTTACAGTCCCACCAACAGTGTAAAAGCATTCCTATTTCTCTACATCCTCTCCAGCACCTGTTGTTTCCTGACTTTTTAATGATCGCCATTCTAACTGGTGTGAGATGGCATCTCATTGAGGTTTTGATTTGCATTTCTCTGAGGGCCAGTGATGCTGAGCATTTTTTCACGTGTCTGTTGGCTGCATAAATGTCTTCTTTTGAGAAGCATCTGTTCATATCCTTTGCCCACTTTTTGATGAGATTGTTTGATTTTTTCTTGTAAATTTGTTTAAGTTCTTTGTAGATTCTGGATATTAGCCCTTTGTCAGATGAGTAGATTGTAAAAATTTTTTCCCATTCTGTAAGTTGCCTGTTCACTCTGATGGTAGTTTCTTTTGCTGTGCAGAAGCTCTTTAGTTTAATTAGATCCCATTTGTCAGTTTTGGCTTTTGTTGCCATTGCTTTTGGTGTTTTAGTCATGAGGTCCTTGCCCATGCCTGTGTCCTGAATGGTATTGCCTAGGTTTTCTTCTAGGGTTTTTATGGTTTTAGGTCTAACATTTAAGTCTTTAATCCATCTTGAATTAATTTTTATATAAGGTGTAAGGAAGGAATCCAGTTTCAGCTTTCTCCATATGGCTAGCCAGTTTTTCCAGCACCATTTATTAAATAGGGAATCCTTTCCCCATGTCTTGTTTTTGTTAGGTTTGTCAAAGATCAGATGGTTGTATTGGTTTTAACCTATATTTTAATGACTAATGCATATGTGGATAAATCTGTTACAATCAGTCATGCAGAACTTCATTATAGTTAACACTAAGATCTTTGCTTTAGGAAACTGAATTACTATATTAACGAGTACTATTAATATGATAATTCTTTTAATTTTCTTGATACACTACACAATAAACCTTTCAGTTCAATGTTAATTTTAAGTAAAACTCTTGTTCCAACTCTTCAAAGTAAAGTAAATAAACCAGTCAAATGTGCTAAAGGCACAAGCAGAAGCGTTGGCCAGAGATTATGCATCTATAGTCTTGGAGGAGAACCAAAGATACTATAATCACAATTTGCCAAGTCTGACTAATGACTCCTTCAAAGTTGAGAACACCAGTGTGCTGCTAGGGTTTTGTGAATGCTTTAAACTTTGATTGAGAAGGGGGTCTTCTGAGCTTAGGCCAGGCTGCCAGTAGGGATTTGCACCTGATCAGACCTTTCTTTTTTTTGAGTACTTAATAGCTGCTTCTGCCAGAAAACCAGATCAAAGAATAGCAGGGGAGATTAGTACATTGGTTTTATCAGCCATTTTCCAGCTACAGCTCTTATAAAGCTGATAACAGGATAGGGGTGAATAAAATCATCTGCTTTCAACCTCCCTGCAGTGCTTTCATCTTGATTTAAGAACCAAGGAGGACCATGTCTACAGTGGACACCAGGCCGGTCCCCTCTCCATCCCTGTCAGAGTTTAAAGCACTTAACTAGTAATCACTGCTCTGACTCTGGAGTAGTCAGCTACCATGTTTCCTTTGCTTTTGACTTGGCAACTGCTGTGGCTTCTTTAGCACCTGGTCCTCTGCCAGCCATCTCAGTTACCTTGGATTGACTACAGAAGACTTTTTTGAGGTTTGTATTTCTCCCACTATTATGAAGGCAAACGGTTGCAGCCTCTATCCCCCTCCCTAGGTAGATGACAGAACACATATAGCCTTTTGTCTATCCTTTTTTTTTAATACCTTCAAGGCTACTCTTGATGTTAAGGACCTAAATAAAACAAATCTTACTTGCCCAAAGTGGACAGTCGAAGTAGTCGGAATCATAGCTTTTTAAGATTTTTTTTTTAAGACCTTAGCTATCCAGTTCTGCCCTCTCCTTTTATACAGCATATGTGCAGCTAAAAACAAAGCATTGGTCTCTTAATGCCTGATTGGTACACTGATGTCTCCTTAACCAAATAGTATGCTTGGTCTATTTAAACAGAATGATTCCTGAGATGGTTTTGGCTGAGAAATAAATTAAAATTTTCTGAATAGCATTTTGAAGAAATGTGTACTATCTGAAAAATTTGCAAAAATACATTCTAAAAGTTAAGACTACTGGATGCTGCGTATTGTACATTATCTAAAGACGCATATATAATTGATGTTTCTGACATTGCTAGTATCTGTATTGTATATGGAAAATGCTTGGAATTGAATATGGTGGAATTGCAGTTTTAATGGAATATGCTTACTTTGTAATACATTGACTCTCCTTTTATATTCAATGTGTACTAATTAGTTATGGTCACTGTATGTGTCTTCCTAATGTTAGGGGTTGAAGTATAATAGATTGTAAAATACCTTGACCTTTGAGCCAGTAGAACTCAGTTAAATTTTTATTTGTCACTAATTTAATGAAGCATTTGGAATTCTATTTAAGCTATATGTGTCACTTTTCTCATCCCAGAAAATATGTTGATCCATTTTAGATACTTTCTAAGGTTTCCTCAGTAGGAAAATCCTAGGAGAGGACTTAGAATATAATCTTACTGCTCAAAATGATTATATTTATGCTGATTGCATATTTACATTTTTCTTTTATTTTAATAACACATGGTTGATATTGTTGTAATTTATTGATGTCAAAAACTCTACCAAAATTATAATATAACTATGAGAAAGTATAATCCCCTTTACAGCTATCTTGTTTTATGAAGTGGTTTCCAGGAAACGATCTTAGCCCAAAAGCCAGAACTGCCTATTATGGGATAAGGATAATCGACTAGCAGGTACAATCAGCAGAAAGGAAAGTGAATTTACTTGGTTTAAAGACTTTCTTGCAGTCACAGAAAATGCTAAATTGATTTTGTTTTTCTCCATAGAAAAACTGCAGCACGTTATATAAGAGGAGTTGCTTTGGGAGACTATAATACCTTTTACAGACTAATCAGTGATTTTAGGAAATGTTGTTGTTGGAATTAGCTGGAAACTTTGTAATTGGAATTGACTCAACTTTCATCACAATCTCTCTCTCCTCCTTTTTTTCATATTAAAATCAGCTGATGAATTACATTGTCTCTGTAATGTGTTTCATATCCAGTAACCTTCTCTATTTCCACCAGCATATGGATTTCTATATGCCATTCTCCCAATTAAGTGCCCTCCCCTGTCATCGACATCCAAATGTAGGGCACCCTGCAAGGTGACATTAAATGCATTTTCTTTATACACTTTAACTGACTTTGGAGAATCAAAATCTTTTGCCTCTCTAATTATACCTTTTTTTTTTTTAAATTTATTTTTTTAACCATCCTGTTAGTTAAGATGCCACCCTCTTTTGGGCCTCTCCAGCTTCACCTGACAGTCTCTCCTCTGTGTTTCAGCAGATTTATGTAGCTATCTCTGTCATAGACCATATGATGTCCTCTTGTTACTACCTTTATTTTATCTAGTCTCTGGCTTTTTGGCTGCTGGGATTGTCTTTATTTTAGCTTTGTTACCCATTGCCCTGCAGCAGTGCCTGACATATTACAGATGCTTTCTAAGAGAATTTATCTTCTCTTGATGACAGGATCCATGTATTCTACCCTATCCTGCCTTCTATACACTGCCTTGCACAGTATTGGGCATAAAATTTGGTGTTAAAGTTAAGAATTGCCCCTTAAACCCTTATCATAATTTAAGTACTTAGGTATTCTTGATTTATGCTATGTGTTGTTTTTTGAACTCTTAATGAACATCTTCATTAAGAGTTCATATTTACAATTTATTGGTGGAAAGCCAATGATAAGACTAATAATTATTCCCTTCAGGAATGTTAACCATACAGTTTCTGATTTCCTACCAAGGTAAGAAAAAAGCTTGAAAAGTATCTCTCAATAGAATATTTAAATCCTCTGTGTTTATTTACCTATGTGTTGGTAAACTCATCAAGAAACATTTTAGTTATCTCAGTTTATCTTAAGAGAATATATAGCTAGCAAAGAATAAAATGGTAAGAATGGATTCAATATATTGAAAGTATTTTACTTTAGATGGCTATATTTAAAGGGGACGTAGTACTCCAGATAAAGGACTGATTTAAAGGTAGGTGATCAGGTGACTGTACAGTAATTTTATTAGAGCCATTCTGTTTTAGAGATTGTAAAACAAATGAATTGTTAAAAATAATTTTACTGTTCACTGGGGCACAATGATTATTACAGAATAATGACTTTTTGTTGGCAAGGCAGTTGGGCAAATATAAGTAAACCATTTTACATTTTTCGCCTGTCTTTGATGCTTTGTCTTTCTGAATAAGGACCCCATTCCCAAGAAAGGCGAAATCATAAGCATTTCTAATAGCTCTGTCTTCTTTCATATAAAGTTTAATTAATGGTTCTCTCACTTTTTCTGCATTTTATGTTTCCTCTCACGTAGAAAATATGTCTTTTTGTGCTCAATAATTGATGACCCTTGGAGTTTAGTGACAAATGTGAGTTAATTTAAGTCATCACCATCAATTTAACAAGCACCTCTGGTAATACGTTTTTCACTTTTAAAAAATTGTATCATGAAGCAAAATGTGTTTCTCTGGGAAGCAGCAAAGATTATAAGATAATCACACACCTCTAGGGCATGAGAATGGGAAAGGTTCAGGTAAATGTATCTATTCATTTGACATAATGATTATTTCATAATAACTGAATGCTTCCATTTCAGCCTTCCCCACCGCCACTATCCCATTCCTCCCTATTCTGTTAGTCTGGGAGAAGAATAATATAATTTTTCTTGTGTGCTAAAATATGATGCTGGTAGTTTTATGATGGTTCCGTATATATTTTAGCTGAACTGTACATTTTCTTATAATCACTAGAAAATAAGAATGGTCTCTTAGCCCCAGTAGTTGATGTAATAGTGAAAAGAGATATATCTTGAAGTCTTTTGCTCACGCCTTTCCCAATAAAACTTATCAGATCTCCTTTTTCCAGAAGTCTCCAATTTAAACTCATATTCTGCTGTTACTTACAATTTTGATGTACATTCATGTGTTTGTAGGTTTTTACTGTTTGTAGAATATTTAAGCTAATAGTTAACATTGTACTCAATATTTCAAGTACTGTTACATAGCCACAGTTCCAGGACTGGAGACAAGGGATTGTATATGTTGTTATTGTGAACTGTGGTGTCTTGTGGCTTGTTTAGTCAATTACTCAATATAAACTTTTTTGAGGAAGTTTTTTGGGAATTATTGGTAATAGCCAACTATTGGAGAGGAAGTTACACAGTTTTAAAGAGCATTGGCTTTAGGATCAAATCCAGTTAAAATAAAATCCCAGTGGAATCACTTGCCATCTCTTTCCTTGTACAGCTTATAAAGTGTTTTTATTCTCTATTTTTATTATGGCTATCAGGTACAAAAATAAAAGAGAGATATTTCCCCCCATGGAATACATGGGTTTTAAATGATACAGCAGTCAATAGGTTTTGGTGAAATAATAAATAAGACAGAAGAAATAAGAGAGGACATAAAATAATTCATATTTTGTGGACTCATCTAGTGATTTCTCTTCTTGGTAAATTGGTTGAAAAAATGAGTTACATTTTTGCCTGTTTAAAGATGCATTTATGGCAGGTAGATAAATCACAGACTTTATTCTTTTTTCCATTTACTTCATACTGACTCATCACTGATGCACACCCAGAAAAATAACAAATCAGCATTAATATATGAGCCTTTTTGTTTCTGCTTATTTGTGAAAAACTTAAATATCGAATTAGCATTGAATTAGCTATGTGATTTCATAAGATTTTTATGAGATTAATAACAATGTTCAATATCATAATAAATAAGTTTCCTTACAGTTGATGATTTCTAGAATAAAGTGAGATATAATTTTCACTCAGATTGTTTAGAATTTTTGTTTTTCAGAAATTACTCTTTGCTATATTCCTCCTTCACATCCCACTTCAGTTTTGGTCTTCACTTCCATGCACAAGCCCCGCTGGTTAGGCTAGCTTGAAAACATTGTTTTCAGGAAGCACACAAAAACTTCCGAGTTGAAAGCTGGTTCAGCACAAGTTTGTTTTATTTCTGACTCCCTGTGAGCTTTGCTTGGATTCTTCCCTTTGGCATTGTGTGTGCTTAGATGTGTATTCAGTATCCTGCACTTTTGGACATGTTGCCTTCCATGTTGGTGTTATAGTCTCGTGATTCTATTCTAGGAAAGACCTTAGATTTTGTGGTCCAAGGATGAAAATTCATAGAAGAAGGAATTGTGGTCTGGAGAGAGTAAGTAGCATAATCAAGATTCAAATCAGGCTTGACCTCTAAATTCAGTGTTTCTTAGCAAATTGCACGTAAACTTATTCTTTTAAAACTGCCTAATCCAGTGCTTTTCAGACTTTTTCCACGTTGGTATACTGAGCCTCATTAACCCATCTGTCTGGGTCCCCAGTCACTGCCAGACCACTGGAAAGTGAAGGGAAACAGGTATTTGGTAGACATTTGCTATGTGCCACTGTGCAGCGTTTAGTGATATTGTCAAAAGTTCAAGCAATAGCACTTACTTCTGTGTCCTTTCCCAGCCTCAGGACCTTTTGCTCTTCTAGTAGCTTTAGCCTTGTTTGATTCTTGTTCTGTATCCACAACCTACTGCCGTCCTTCCTGCAAGAAAATGTGTGTGCTAGCTTAGTCACTTCAGTCTGCTATAGCAAAATGCCATAAACTGGATGTCTTATAAACAACAGAAATTGATTTCTCACTGTCCTGGAGGATGGGGAGTCCAAAATCAAGGCACCAACAGACTTGGTGTCTAATGAGGGTCTATTTTCTCGTTCATAGACAGTGCCTACTCACTGTGTTCTCACAGTGCAGAAGAGGCAAGGATCTCTCATGAATAAGGGCACTAATCCCATTCACCAAGGTGGAGTCCGCATGACCTGATCACCTCCCAGAAACCTCACTTCCTAATACCATCGCTTTGGGGATTCAAATTTCAACATAAGAATTTTGGAGTCAAACAGATATTGGACCATGACATGTATGAATTTTTAAATTTTTAATGTCTCTAAAATACACTAAGAAGTAATTAATTAAATGTTGTACCACCTTAGAGATTCAAATGCTTTCAAATTTCAATTCTTAGTTCAGGGCAAAATTTTGAAAGGTAATTCCATTTGATGAGTTCACTTATATATCACACTGCATAGTAAGCAAAATGCAAGAACTGTGGCACCAGACTATCTGGGTTAGAATCTGGTGCTGCCACTGAATAGCTGTGCGACCTTGGGAGAGATACTTACCTTTCTTTGCTTCTATGTCTTCATCAGTAATATTGCCCCTACCTCATAGGGTTGTTACAAGAACCAAATGAATTAATATTTAAAGCAGTTGGAAGAGTTTCTAGTACATGATCAGTATTATCTATGTGTTTGTTAGCAAATGACTAATTAAAAAGTTATTTATATTTATAGTAAATTTTCTTTAAATTGAAAGTTTCAAAAATTAGTTATCTTAGCAGAATGTATGTATATTTGCCACCTCATGTATAATAATCAAATCAGTCCTAAATCATGTAGCTTTTGTGGTGATATGATGATATACGGAGTAGGACAAGGTATATCGGGTAATTGTGTAGATCTTTGAGTGTATTCAAAGTTTGGCTTTTAAGTGAGCTTGTCACTTCGTTTCTCTCAGCTCCATTTTTAGTATCTATAAGATGTGACTATTAAAATCTGTTCTACACACTTGTATTAGTCTGTTTTCACGCTGCTGATAAAGACACACCTGAGACTGGGCAATTTACAAAAGAAAATGCTTTAATGGACTTACAGTTCCAATTGGCTGGAGAAATCTCACAATCATGGCAGAAGGCAAGGAGAAACAAGTCACATCTTACATGGATGGCAGCAGGCAAAGAGAGAGCTTGTGCAGGGAAATTCCCATTTTAAAAATCATCAGATCTCGTGAGATTTATTCACTATCACAAGAACAGCATGGGTAATACCTGCCTCCATGATTCAATTATCTCCCATGAGGTTCCTCCCAGGACACATGGGAATTGTGGGAGTTACAATTCAAGATGAGATTTGGGTGGGGACACAACCAAACCATATTAACACCTAGCAAGTGTTTTATGGGGATCAAATGAAGTAATGTTCATGAATATACTCTGTGAGCCAGGTATGGTGGTGCATGCCTGTAGTCCCAGTTATTCACTGAAGTGGGAGGATTGCTTGAGCCTAGGAGTTTAAGTTTGTAGTGCACTATGATCATGCCTGTGAATAGCCACTGCACTCGAGCCTGGACAACATAGCAAGACCCTGTCTCTAAAAAAATAATAAAATTAAAAATACTTTGTAAACTATAAAGACCTATCCAAAGTAAATATATTCTTAATGATGACGACTTATGTATTTAAAGCACTGTACAGTTTTTTGCATTTGCTGTAAATATATGATGGCAAAATGCTTACCTAGAAGTAACAGAACTGCATGTATTACTGTGTATCTGATATCAATATTTAAAATAGTGGGCTGTTCTTCTTTAAAGAAAAACTTATCTTTGCTTATTTTTAATTTCCTTGTTAGCAGTGGGTGCTTAGTACAATACTCCAAATAATATCACTCCTGAGTTTGGAACAGACATAAGGGAGGCAGGCATCTTCTTCGTTAACTGGACCTACATCAGATGTGGGGAGGACCCCCCATCTTCCTCTGGCTTTTCTTCTTTTGTCATGTTTTAGCTTTGCTGCCAATCTCCACTGATGGGTATGGCTTTTTTCTCATTGTTGGCAGGGTAGTTTGCTTGATGTAGTAGTCTGCTTCATACCAACCTCCTCTATCTTCAAGGACCTCCTTGGAAAGAAACAGCTGTGCTTCTTCTGGAGCAAAGTGGTTCACTACTCTGGCCTTTCCAACGGTGGTGGTCTCTCACTTAGATGCTGCCTGGGAAGCCCTTAGAGTCCCAGTGCCACCTCTACAAGGTACTCTTTCATGTGAAGACAGGAAAACCTCTTCTGTGTCCTCATGACAGCAGAAAAACTCCCATACACTTATCAGGCACACCACTGGTGTGCAAGAGCGGCTTGTACAGACTCTCAAATGCTAACTGTTAAATTTTTAGGAAGTTGTGATCTTGTTGTTAACACAATCATTACTAATTATATTATGTAAGTGATTAATCAAAAAGATTATTTTAGAAACTGTACTAAATATTTAAAATATCACTTTCTTATTATTTTGCTGCATTTTGTTATTACCTGTGCTCCTGATATTGCTTTATATCTGCTGTATTTTTATGGTAGATAATACCGTATAATGGTGTGCTACTGCACATCTCTCCCCACTCCACATTCTTTAACTTCACACTAGTAGCTTGAAATTGGCCATGGTGAGAGCATTTCTACCTCTGAAATCAACAAGTGCCACAAACCATGATCTGTCATTCCCTGCCATTTGTTGAACATTTACCAGCAGACTACTGGGCTCACTGTATTCTGGTCTCTTCTGGTTCTACTGCTACAGGCTACAGCAGCAAGTGTTCCCTCATTAATAGTCTCTATAATGAGAAAGAAATTGCCTCTTCCTTCTTAGGACTTTTTACCAAGTCCTCCCAAGAACTCTGTCATGAAGCATTTATCCAGAAGTCAGTTGCCAGCCACCTCTTCTCATAGGCACCCCAGTCTTGACTGATTCTTCTACAGTCTTCCTTGTGTTTGGCCCAGGGAGCGTTCCTGTGGGGTGAGCACTCGCTTCCCTTCCTTTGTGGAGGCAAGGAAGCTCATCACTATCAGTACTGGACTTCTCTGCCTGGTCCTCAGGGCTCAGTTCAGATCAGCTGGGTGTATGAAGGTGAAAGACTATGGTAGACGTGGGTCTGCCACCTCCCAGCAAACACTCAAGGAAAATTGGCCCAGTTTTTTATGAATTATCTAGAATGTAAAGCACTTAGACTTTTTTTTTTTTTTTTTTGGTTATTGGTTTTGGACCCACCTAAAAATTCTTGGGAAAAAAAAAAAAGAAGTACCATTTAACTTTGTATTATAAAAAAGACTGAAAGGGTATTTCATTTACAAAATTTATTTCACAAAAAAGACTTTTCGTATAAATGCATCACATTAAACAGAAAGGTAGGAATTCCTGATGTCTAAGTGTCTAGTCCTAAACTGATTTTCCAAAGCAACTGAGAGTTTAGTTGGTTTTGGAGACAGTGTCTGTCATTCTCTCCCTCTCCCTCCTTCTTTGCCTTGCCCCCTCCATAGCTCTGTAGTTGGGTCTAGTTTAGGGCTTACCTATATGAAAGATTAAGTAAACACTCTGTTCTTTTCTTTGGGAAGTTAGTGTTGTTTTAGTATGTGGGGAGTCGAACACTCTTTAAAATAACTCATTTCTAGAAAACAAAAAGGCCAAAAATTTAGGATAAGATAACAGATATTGAAGATCAATGATTACATATTAAGTCTGTCAGTGTGATTCTCTTGAGATAAAAAATCCTTTTTTAAGAGAGTATAGTGCATAATATATTTTTGCTTCTATGAACTTATTTGGTTTCAATAATTTAATATTGAGGCTGTCTCACATTTTAAACCTAGGGAGAAAACAGGTTGGAAACTACATAAAATTGGTGTATCAACAGTTTTGAGTTGCAGTTTAACTTTCACTATGCTGCTTAATTTGTCATCCATAAAATTGGGATGAATCCAAACCTGGAAAGTAATATTTGACTGTAATACCAAGCCATACAGCATTGCCTGATCCACATAAAGCACACTTGATCAGTTTTGTCATTTGCACATGTGGAGAGTTTTCTCAGGCTGAGTAACTCCTGGTATTGGATTCTAGGCATAATCATGTCATTCTTGCTTGTTGGTGCCATGAAATAATTAGCCCACCATGTAAGGGCCCAACTTGATGCTGTGCTTAAGAGTAGAGCCTATATTCTTGATTCTTGTGGAATTTGTGTCTTATATGAAAGTTTGCTTGACCCACCAGTTGCTTCTTTTTGCTTTTAACTGTTAATATAGCTCCAAAAGCTATTGCCCAAATTTGTCAAAATTCATATTTAAAAGTTCTGCTGTTCAATGAGCTAGTCACTAGCCAGATGCAATTATTAAAATTAAAATTAAAAATGTATTTATTCATTTGCACTATCCACATTTTAAGTGCTTGATGCCTGCAGGTGGCTGGTTAGTGGCTACTATGTAGACAGATACAGAACATTTTTCTTGTGGCAGACAATTTTGCTGGACAGTTTTGCTCTAGACTGAAGCTCTGCACACAGTACTTCCCCTGTAATAACTATAGACATCTGGCTAGTTTTTACTGTGTTACAAACATTTTGCTAATTCAAGTTTGGAGACAATGGATTTCATAAAGAAATTATAATAAAATATACCTGTCAATGTACAATGTAGTGTTTCACCATATTATGTAATAAAATATCTTAAGTGCTAGTTTGGAAAATTTGCTGTTTTTTGTTATAGTGTTTTTAACATCTTTTGCCCTCTAGAACATTATTCTCAAATTTTAAATCCATATAACTATTGAAAAATCTGTATAAGTATTGATTTCTGCTTTTACATCTTTAATCATATGAACCAAAAGAAATACAACAATGAATCATCTAATATGTTTGAACAAAAATTGATGGGTTTTTCTTTTTTGAAAGTTTTATTTGGAGCACTGAGCTTGGAATATAAAATAAATAAAGACAACATGGAATTTAAATTTGGATGGGTAAAATAGAAAATGAAGTTTAGAGGCTTGATAGATTGACAGATCAAGAGGGGTAAAACAGAAACTATTGCTATATAAGCTCAGGATGAAATACTAAGTAGAGACCTCAGCCTATACATAAAAAGAGATGGAAAAACTAAGAAAATGCATGTTTGTTTTGCAATTTAAATTTTTATTTTCAGATCTTAGAGGACAACTATATCATTAAATGTTAAGCTTGCTAAAGCAGTATTTTTTAGGTGTCTTTAAAGTAACTTACTACAACTTCCTATATTTTTGCAGCATCTTCTAATGTACATGAAAGTTCAGTGAATGTACATGAAAGTTCAGGGACCACATGCTTAAATACTGGAGTTGAACGGAGAACTAAGCTTGTTTTGAAATAATTTTTGTTGTCCCTGCTTCCAAATTTGTTGTGGTAGTGGTTATATGAGTCTTTTATTTATTAGGAGATTAGGAAACTGCTTTCATAAATGGACATTATACAAGCATCTTCAAGAAACATGTTTCGCTTCTCCAGCTCCAATTAGAAAAGCGGTAATCTCCATCCCAGCCTTCTGGATGGCTGGCCTCTCTTCCTAACTTTCTTACCCGAATACCTCTTTATAGGAGGCTTACTACATGCCATTTGCTATGCTAGATATTGTGGGTAGCAATGATAAAGGCCATCTTCTCTATTTTATTTTTGGGCATCCTCAGGGTTAATGCCGTCATCTTTTCCTTCAACAACTGCAGTGGTCTCCTTAACATTGTCTCTGCTTCTGGATCTTGGTCTCCCACAAACCACTTCTCACAGTCATCAAAACAAACTTCTTCAGATCATAATTCAGATTATGTCACTCCTCTGCTATAAGCCTGTTCTGTTACATTTAGAATGAAATCCAATCTTTTAAAAAATAGAATAAAAAAAAATATATTTTAGGAAGCCATGTCATCAGAAGTGTAATCCAGAGAATAATATACTCTATAGGTCTAAAAAAAGATTTTCTAAATTATGCAATTATATTTTGATAAATACTTATAAATATTCAAATACAGACATCAGTAAAATGAAAAGTGAAACTCATTTCACCCATTTCATTCAATTTCTCCCCCAAGATGACTACTGTTAATTGGGTCTATATAGTTTAAGGCCTTTCCTATGAAATTACGTCCATGTTGTACGTTTGCTTTACATATGTTATGGACTGGAAAATGAAAGCAGTTGTGTGGAAGGGTTCTTATGTTACAGAAGGAAGTCACATTTTTTTAGTTTCCTTTTAACTTTCTTTAAATGAAAAGGAAAGAATGTTTTAAGTTATATCTTCAACTGCTAGAAAGGTAGTATACTTAGAATTTTTATGGCCCTTTCCTAGGGATTTATGATTTTCACATAAAAGAATGAAAATTGAACACACACTGAATTATACTTCTAAAACATACTTGAAATTTTTTGCCTCTCTCTATTCGTGTTACTTAACCAGTGCAAACTTACTGTAAGTAACGAAATCATTGAAGAAATACACAGAAAATGAAAGTAATCCATAATCTCACCTTCTGCTTTCTAGAGATGACTCCTAATATTTTGACAGGTGGCACATACATATGCATGTATGTATGTGCATATATGTACATTATATATGTGTGTGTGCATGTGCATATTAAACTTGATATTCAGTGGAATCATAATACATAATGTTTTGGTTTCCTTAATTAGGTTATTGTGAAAAGCTTTCCTCTTCATATTCTATTTTTAAGCAACCTGTCCCAATCTGACAATTTCTCACTCTTAGTTTAGTGGTTTTGAGCTGTGGCATACTGGTGTTCCCTGACAGTGGTATTGCAGGTGTTGAAAAATTTGTAGTGTGATAACCTAGCCTATAGGGTGGAGCCTGGAACTATGACAGTTGTCTTTTTACTTCAAGGTGCCACACAGTTGTTGTCATCTCCTGTTTGTTTTTCATAATATAAAAGCATTTGGGAAGCACTGCTAAAAATCCATGCTTTCCCTGTCTCCCTCCTCAAACATGGACCTCCCCACACTTCTCCCAGCTTCCCTTATTACCTCTCTGAGGCTCTTCTCCTCACAGCAGACTGATCTTTTAAAAACACATGTCAGATATCAGGAACTTAGGAATTCTACCCCATATCCTCCACTGGCTTCTCAATGGAGTCAATAAAATCCAAATCCAGTTATTGGCTAGCTCCACGTTAAATTGTCTTCTGCTCTCTGCCTCCCTCATTCAGCTTTCTGATCGTGGAATGCTCCAAGATCATTCGTATCTCAAAGTCTTTGTGCCTGTCATTCCCTCCGCCTGGAATGGCATTACCTCCATCTTCCCATTCTGGTCTCTACTCATATTTTGCCTTCTCAGAGGCTGACCTAATTACCCCGTCTCTACCCTTCTGTTCGTTAACTCCTTTGCCTCCTTGCCTTAGCACTTTGGTCACTGTTCCATATGCTTGTTTAGTGTCTTTCTTCCATACTAGCCTGTTTTCCATGAAGACATCAACTTTGTTTTATGTTTTTCATCTCTTGTACATATCAGGTGCTCGAGAAATAATTATCTAATGAAAAAGTACATATACAATGAAAAAAGTACATAGCGAAACTAACATTTTTATTCAGTATTTGTTTCCTTTATTTCATTTTCCCAGTGCCTTGGATTTTTCTGGTCAGTTATCTCTAGTGTTAGCATGAGCACTTCAGGAAGAGGTAAGGGAGAGATATTAGCCAGTTAAACCATGCATGATTACTCTGTGATATCAGTTTTATGTAACATATTTTGATCTTTTTAACATAGTCAAATGGATGTTGTAACACTTGCTTGATTTAACATTATATTTTGGTCTTTATTATAGAAATTTTAAGGAATTTCACATAATCACTATTTTCTTATAGAAGAATATAGGGACAAGCAGAATGGTGATTTTCTTAAAGGCCTTATTTCTTAAAGAGAATAAAATTTAGTTTATGTATAAAGAAAATGATTTTATTCTCAGACACTTTCCTCCCTGTGTGTATCCCCTCAAATTATCACATTTAAATAATTCTCAGTGGTCCTAATTGATTTCTGAATAAAATATATTCTGGCCATTTTTCTTTCTCCCAGGATTTATTATGAGCCATGACAATAAAGTTTAGGTCTATTTACAAATCAGAGAACCTTCATATTTTTGAGAACTGGAACTTTGAACTAGATTAGTTGAGTATATCATGTTGGTTTTTTTGGTGACACGCAGTATAGAGAAAATTAAAAATGAATTTCCATCACACCTATCTTTGAAAACTGAATTTAGCTTAAATTGAAAGGGGTGAAAAGTTGGCATTTTATTACATCATTTCACTTATCTTATAAATCTTAGAGTGAAGACAATGTTTATGACATTATTTTAAGTCTGAAATTAAATTTAAGTGAAGCCTTTCTGAGACTTATTTATTTTAAACACTTGTTATTGCATTTTGGATTAAAAAATTACATACACAAATTTGTTTTCCTGAATATATAATGTGTTTGATCTCTCCATAAATATGTATGTTAATATAGCACTAAAATCTAAATCTTTCCACATTATTGTACACGTAGGTATGCAATAAATATTTCTTGATTGGTTGACTAATATCCAAGCATATTTAGGCATACTATTACATGTTTAGGTCTTTCTGATGAGATTCCAGTTCTTGAATCTGGTTGTTGCTACCACACTGACCTTTTTAAGGTGCAAATCACATTATCCCTCATGTAGAACCCTTTAAAGGCATTACAACACCTTCAAAAATAAAATAAAATAAAATGAAAAAAGGCAGACTCCTTTTTGTGGTGTAGAAGTCCATGCAAGATAAGGTCCCAGCTTCCTATCTCCCAGGTGTCTTTTTTTTTTTTTTGGATGGAGTTTCTCTCTGTCTCCCAGGCTGGAGTGCAATGGCGTGATCTGGGCTCACCACAATCTCCGCCTCCCATGTTCAAGCAATTCTCCTGCCTCAGCCTCCCGAGTAGCTGGGATTACAGGCATGTGCCACCATGCCTGGCTAATTTTGTATTTTTAGTAGAGACGGGGTTTCTCCTTGTTGGTCAGTCTGGTCTCGAACTCCCGACCTCATGTGATCCTCCTGCCTCGGCCTCCCAAAGTTCTGGGATTACAGGCATGAGCCACTCCATCTCCCAGGTTTTAATCTCTTCTGTTCTATTCTTCCTAACTAGATGTTCTACAAAATTGCTTGTGCCAATAGCTCATTATATTTCCTCTTGTCAGTCTTTTGCAAATACACCTTATTTGGTCTGTAACGCCCTCTTTTTTTGCAGTGTTTTAAAACTGCTTGGAATCATCTTTTTTTTGAATCATTGTCCGCTTTCCCAGATAGAAAATAGTTTGCCTACAGCCGGGCATGGTTGCTTACGCCTGTAATCCCAGCACTTTGGGAGGCTGAGGCGGGCGGATCACGAGGTCAGGAGATCGAGACCATCCTGACCAACACGGTGAAACCCCGTCTCTACTAAAAATACAAAAATTAGCCAGGTGTGGTGGCATGCAACTGTAATCCCAGTTACTCGGGAGGCTGAGGCAGAAGTGCTTGAACCCGGGAGTTGGAGGTTGCAGTGAGCCAAGATCGCCACTGCACTCCAACCTGGCAACAGAACGAGACTCCATCTCAAAAAAAAAAAAAAATGAAGAACATAGTTTGCCTACTCTTTCTCTTGTTTTACATTATTGCTCTACATATGTCATAGAGGTTTACCTTCTAAAAGGTGTGGCTCTGCCTTTTATCCATCTTCGTATCCCTAGCGGCTAGAATAGTGTGTGCTCACTAAGTGCTGGGTTAATGAAGGATGTTTCAAAGGTCGCTTTCTCTGAAGTCTTGCTGTTTTCCCAGGTGGAGTAATTTTCTCTCTCCCCTGAACTCTCATAGCGTTCTAACTCTGCTTTATCACATATAACTGTGCTATAGTTATTTCCTACCATGCTTATCTCTTCTGCCACATTGTGACTCTCTTGAGGACAGGGACCAAAAATTAGGTATTTCTTTCTGTCAGATATTAGTCCAGCAAATATTAGACACTCCATAAATTTCTTCTTGTTGAATAAATACATGGCTAATTGTTCAAATTTTTAAAAATTGGTATTTTATACAGGCTTATATTTTTGTTTTAGCTGGCTATCTGATAAAGAAAACCTATGAATCTACTTACAGTTTTTTTCTTGAAAAGGAAAAAGTTCTGAAGGAAGAAAACCTATAGGATTGAAACTGTCATGTAACTTTTAGCTCAGCTTGGAGATCAGCCTAGATGAATGGTTCTCACATTTTAGCCTGCATCAGTATCACCTGCAGGAGCTCTGAAACCATGGATCGGTGGGTCCCACCCACAGAGTTTCCAAGAAGTTTCCAGGTGTTGTTGATGCTTTTGTTGCCAGGACCATGTTTTGATAACTTTTGACCTGATCTGTCTTACCAGTATTTTTCAGCCTTCAGCATCTTGATAATTTGTTCATACTTTAATGCCGATATGTGGAGTCAGTGCAAAGGTTAAACAGGTTAAATATCTCCTGATGTCTTTGGCAAAGGCCTTCTGTTTTCATAGACAACATCTAAAATCATTTGAGTGGCTCTTTCAGTCCTCCTAAATCACTTTATGTTAGTTTCTATTCTATACACTCTTTATTAAAGGAGGCACTTGGTCATTATAATGTCTAGTGCTTTCCCTCACTTATGACTAGATACTGCCAATAAAATTAATGCTTTCCCTCGTCTTTTTCACCATCTCCCATATTGTGTTCTCAATGAAGATGAGTTTATCTCTCTCCATCTATCCTTAAAACCTGATTTAGGGCCCGGCATGGTGGCTCACGCCTGTTATCCCAGCACTTTGGGAGGCCGAGGTGGGTGGATCATGAGGTCAGGAGATCGAGCCCATCCTGGCCAACATGGTGAAACCCCGTCTCTACTAAAAATACAAAAATTGGCTGGGCATGGTGGCGGGCGCCTGTAGTCCCAGCTACTCAGGAGGCTGAGGCAGGAGAATCACTTGAACCCAGGAGGCGGAGGTTGTGGTGAGCTGAGATCGCGTCACTGTACTCCAGCCTGGGCGATAGAGCAAGACTCTGGCTCAAGAAAAACAAAACAAAACCCTGATTTTATTCCACTTATTTTGTTTTATATGGGTAACAACATTGGTCTATGAATCAGGCCCATTTTAAAAGTAGAGTTTCAAGCCTTTATAATTGTACAAAAAGTTCCAAGGATTTATTTCTCCCTAGTATTTCTTAATTTCTCTGCTTCAACCCATTTTTACTGATTGTCGGACACCCAGAGAGGTCATAGGTATTCTTCAAAAAGTTTGTGATATGAAAAGGATGTCGTTTCCTTCTTTTTTTTTTGACTAACTTCTGAATAATCTCTGAGTATTCTAGATAAAAATATTTTGCCTTAAAATTTTTAGCAAGATTCTTAAAGTCTTACAGACTTCATCTTTTGCTGATTTATGACACATGAATATTTTCTTAAGCATATCGTCAAAAATTTGAGTTCATCTTCTGCAAAGAATCAAGTGAACCATATACTTTTAATGTCTTCATTTTAAATATATGTTTTAAGAAAAAAGTCAAGACAAATATAGATATGCATATTTGTGTGTTTGCACCCATTATTTTTAGTCGTTCTGGGATATCTTCTAAAGTTCCCTATTATTTTCTCCTGTTGAACCTGACTGTCAAACGTATTGTTTGTTACATCTCTTCGTAAATATTTTTCAATTTCAGCTGGGCTTTTACTAGCTAAAAGCACTAACATCATAAATTATATAATAATATGTAATTATATTTGTGCTATTTAAACGTTATATAGCTAATGATATCACTGTTCTTGACTATTTGTCTTGTAAAATAAAACAGAAAATAAAAGTTCACAGGCGTTCTATCCCTAAATTCAACTAAGAGTACACAAACTAGTTACTCTTACAAACTTTATGTCAAAACCTTTCTCCTCTCCCCTCCAACCATAACTAATTTTTTCAGTAGGGAAAGTTCACAATACTTTTGAAATTACTTAATTCTTAAATCAATATTATGTAAGTAGAGAATTCTCTTTTTACAAGAGGTTTAAACAAAACAATTACTTATTAATATATCTGAATTTGTGATGTGAAAACTCAAGTTTAGCATCTGGCTGAACTTTGTCTGTATGTAGGCTCATCCATTTATCTTATCTCTTCACTCAAAATTAATCATCTGGTTTACTTAAAGGTTGCTTTTCTTTGTAAGTGCATACTGTCATCAGATTTCATCTGTTAATAGATATTTAGTATGATGGTACATGTAGGCTGAACTACTGATTTTAATTTTCTTGAGTTTCATAAGCATAAATTAAAGCTATTGAGAGTTGTTTAAATTTGTTAAGAACAGACTTACTGTGTTAGTTTGAAAGCATTATTTTTCAAATATAGTTGTGCAGGTGAAGTGATCTACTTCTGCTATGTGTAAGATTGGACTGTTGGTGCTGAAATTTAAAAGGTTCTGCTTGTGGATTGTAGGAAGACAAATGGCACATCTCTAGAAGTGAGGAGAAATAGTACTGTAATTCAGTGTCATGTTGATAGAAGTAGAAACCTTCACCAGTCATCTTTTATTTTTGTACCAGACAACTAACTATAAAATATAACCCAGATGGTGGAGCTATGATAGTAAAGATACAGAAATGACATTTTGCTGATGAATTTTCTGCTACTCTTTGCTTCCCCACTTTCAGTTTTATACCAAATCTTTTATGGTGTAGGTTGCTTGCTTATGTATCTAAGGACAGATCCATAGGATGAAAAATGTGTTTAAGGGCATTTTTAGATCTTGGATTATTTCAGTAAACTTTTATTTTCCTCTTTTAATTGCCTTTTTGGTTTTTCCTCTCTTTTTGCTAAACTCATATTCTCACATAAATTAGACTGAGCCATGAATAGTGGGTCCTATTTCAATTTTATTTCTGAGTTTCATATTTAAGGCATTTGGGATGTATTATTATGCTCTGCCTGTCTGTCTGCCTATATTGGAATTGGGAAGCCTCAGAAGAGAGCAGGGGTTTGGCATACCTTATACTGTGGTCTCTAGTCTCAGGCAGCTTCACCACACTTAGGCCCTGAATTGAACTGTAAAAGGAATTATGGAAAGGGGCTTTAGTGATAGGGGTGTCAGACATTAGGAATGAGCAAGGTAGTGAGTTTGTGGTACTGTTTTTGTAGCACAGAAGAGCTAAAAGGTGTATCTGCGATGGCAAAGGTCAGGAAAGGGGCTAACATTTATGAGAAACCTCCTAATTTGTGTATAATATCTTTTAATCTTTACAATGGCCTCATGAGGTCGGAACTGGGACCTGAGTTGAGGTCTGTGGCTCAGAGTTGGGGCTCTGCTGCTGGGAACTGTGGTGTGCACTGTGTTGAGTGGGTGTGCTTGTGTGTGTCTCTGTCTTACCTTGAGGGTCTATGTCAAAACCTTCTTGAGAAAGCAAGTATATAATCCCTTCTACCCCCAGAGCCATTTTAATGATATAGAGAATATGCAGAGAACACAAGAACTTTTTGTGGGTTTATTTTGTTAAAGTTATTCATTCTCAGTTCAGGTTTTGGGTTTGTTTTCAGAAATGAGAAGTATGTCTTAGTCACTTTAAGACTAAGAAGTCATGTGTTTTTGATACATATAAACCTGCGTCAACATCTATTCTAATTAAAAACACCATTGATAATCGTTTACAAGTGCAAGATTTCAGGAATGCAGAATTAATTTAAATAACTAGTGGACTATTATTATAACTTCAACATACTAGCATACACTCTGAAATGATTATTGTTCATTCATTTATTTAGATTTTCTAGATACTTTTAGTGATTACATTAGGGATAGCCAACTCCCTGGGCTAATTTGAAACATAGGAATGTAGTATGCTTGCATATTCATTTCAGTATGGAACTTGTGAAAATCTCCGTCTTTGGGCTTTTCTTTCATACAGGCTACTTTTGTATGAAGTCTGTTAGGTTTTATTTTCTCCTTCTGATCTGTGGTCCTGACTTTTTACAGTTACCTGGACACTGCCATGTGCTTTGACTGATGTTCTGTTGTTTATTAGGCAAAACACAGTATCATTCTTGAAAGGCCTGCAGTTGGTGGATGCTCTAGCTGCTTTTCATGCAACTGCACTCTGGTTATACCTGATGTCATCCCTGTTAGATAATGTGGTAGTCCTTCTCATCATGCAGGCAATTGGTAATGCTAAACCTCAGGATATTTTTGTAATCAAAGCCCTTGTAATTGGATAAATTGATGTTTTATTAAAGAATACCTGGTAACATTATAAATAGTATTAACATTCTAAAATTAACTTGTCACTGTAATATTAATTACAGTGATATATGGATACATAGAATTATGTGGGCACGTGTATATATGTATGTGTGCGTAGATATATGAAAGTGAAAGAATATTTAAACCTATACTGTAGCTCCTGCTGAGTGGCAGATGCTGTAACTATGCAAAAGGCCTGTGTGTATTCAGGTAAGAGAATGTTGGTATTTAGAATCTCTGGAGCCCTAGTTACTCCCTGTAGATAGTAAAATCCTGATGCGAAGTCTTGATAATACTAGTCTTTCTAAGGAACCAGCCATTTTTAATCTCAGGACATCTTAAGGAAAATTATGCATCTATGAGTCATGGAAGTGCTAAGGATAGCTAAAATCTGAAATTACTTAGGGGTTAGATGAAGAATCGATTTGGGCTTGATTATATGTCTTAATTGCCTTCCATATTTAGTTGGCATATAATTAGAACCCCCTCATTACTTTCTCAAGAAACTCGAAAATCAAAGAGTTTACAAATAGTCAAATAATTGACTTTAGCAACTCTAAAGCAAAGAGTATACAAATATTTCCCTTGTTTAGATATTTTATCTATGTATCTTTTTGTGATTGCAGGTATATATCTCCTTCAGGAACTAAGTAAACAAGTAAACAACAAATAGGAAAAGGTTAATAAGAATTCATCAGTTTCAGAGTCTCAAGGCCTTGACTAAAGGCCTTTTCACACTTTAGACTCTTAGAAGTGGACTATTACATGAGTCAATAGGCAAACCAGCCTGTCTTGCAGGGGTCTGACGAAGAGAAGCTCCTTTTCTCTAATATTTGCTGCTGATTCTTAGTTGAGAAACCATAATTCCAAATTGCCAGTGTCTATGAGAGGAGCTACAGTGAGTGACAGTAACTGCTAGTTGTACATTGCACTTTTGGTATCACCTGTCAGTTATGTGTGTCTTCATCTTTATGTATGGATGAAAATAGAATATGCACATTTGAAAAGTAACTAGATTCTAGAATTTTAAGTTTTCATGTAGATACTGGACTTACTCTGTAGAAAATCTTCTGGGGCCTATCAGCAGAAATTTATGCCTTATAGCATTATTTAGCTGTTCAGGGGAG